>NC_000002.12:148398708-148701739 GCF_000001405.40 Homo sapiens | reverse complement strand
GGTCAGCATCACCCCAATCCTAAAGCAGAAAAAGATATTACAAGAAAGGAAAATGACAGACGAATAGCTCTCATGAACATACATGCAAAAATTCTCAACAAAGTATTATTATAGCAAGCTGAATCCAACATATAAAAATTATACACCAAGACCAAGTGGGATTTGTTCAGCATGCTAAATCAATTAATTTAATCCACTTCATCGACTAAAGAAGAAAAATCACATGAGCATATCAATAGATGTAGAAAAAGCATTTGACAAAATCTAACCCTCTTTCATGATAAAACTCTCAGCAAACTAAGAATAGAGGAGAATTTCTTCAACTTGATAAAGAACTTTTACAGAAAACCTACAGTTAATATCACAAGTGTAAGAAACCAGACGCTTTCCTACTAAGATCAAGAACAAGGCAAGGATGTTCCTTCTCACCACTTCTATGCAACATCATCCTGGAAGTCCTGGCTAATGCAATAAGACAAGAAAAGGAAATAAAAAGTATACAGATTAGGACGAAATGAAACTGTCTTTGCTTACAGATGACAAGACTGTCTATGTAGAAAATTCCAAAGAATTGACTAAAAATATCCTGGAACTAATTAGAGCATAGTAAGTCTGTAGCATACAAAGTTAATATACAAAAGTCAGTTGCTTTCCTACAGACCAAAAATGAACACTCGGTATTTGAAATTAAGGAACAACACCATTTACATTAGAACAACAACAAAAAAAGACACTTAAGTATCAATCTAACAAAACATGCAGAGGATCTATATGAGGAAAATCGCAAAAGTCTGATGAAAGAAATAAAAAAATGCAGAGATATTCCATGTTCATGGACAGGAAGACACTATTATGTCAATTCTTCTCAAATGTGATACAGATTCAACAACGTCTCAGTAAAAATCCCAGTAAGTTATTTTGTTACAATGATGAATAGATTCTAGTTCATATAGAAAGACAAGTGCCCCCAAAGAGCCAATACAAGAGTAAAGAAGAAAAAAGGCAGAGGACTTAGGTTCAGAGCAACTGGTGCTAAAAAAAAAAAAAAAGTAAAAAGGGCAGAGGACTGACATTACTTGACTCCAAGACTTACTCTGAAGCTATTATAAACAAAACAGCAAGAATTTGACAAAAGAGTAAACAAGTAGATCAATGGAACAGAATAGAGCCCAGATACAGATCCATACAAATATAGTTTTTGACAAAAGATCTTTGACAAAGGAGCAAAGGCAATTCAATGCGGGGCGGGGGGGAGGGGGGGAGTCTTTCCAACAACGAGTGCTAGAACGGTGACATCCCATATGAAAAAAAATGAATCTAGATATAGAACTTATACCCTTCACAAAAATTAACTCAAAATGGATCACAGATCTACATATAAAATGCAGTCTACAAAACTTTTAGAAAATAACACTGGAGAAAATCTCAGGGACCTTGGGTTTGATGATGAGCTTTTAGAAATAATACCAAACACATAATTCATGAAAGTAAAAAAATTGTTAAGCTGGACTTCATTAAAATTAAAAACTTTCACTCTGTGAAAGACACTGTTAGTGAATGAAAAGACAAGGCACAGAGAGGAAGAAGATATGCAAAATACATATCTCTACAGGACACGTATCTAAAATATATAAAGAACACTTAAAACTCAACAATAAAACAAGCAATCCAATAAAGAAATGGGCAAAAGATCTGAACAGACACCACACTAAAGAAGATATATAAATAATGTCAATCAAACAAAAAGGTGATCAACATCTTATGTTATCAGGGAACGGCAAATTACAACAGTGACATACCATCTCACACCTAGTAAAATGGCTAAAATCCAAAAACTGACCCAAAACCAAACGATGATAAGGATGCGGGGCAATAGAAACTTTCATTCACTGTCAGTGGGAATGCAAAATGGTACAGCCACTTTGGCATGCAGTTTGGCAGCTTCTTATAAAACTAAACATGTTTACAGCAATTGCACTCCTAAGTATATACCCAATTGAGCTGAAAACTCACAGCCACACAAAAACCTACATACAAATGTTTAGAGCAGTTTTATTTATAGCTGTGAAACTGGAAGCAATCAAGATGTCTTTTAATAGGTGAATGGATAAACTGTGATATAGCCATATAATAAAACATTATTCAATGATAAAAAGAAATGAGCTATCAAGCAACAAAAAGACATGAGAGAATCTGAAAAGGCTATGTATTATATAATTCCAACTATTTGACATTCTGGGAAAGGCAAAACTAAAGAGACAACAAAAAGATCAGTGGTTGCCTGGGATTTGGAAGAATGTACCAGCGAAGTTCAGGGAGTTTTTAGAGTGATGAAACTATTCTGTAGGATACTGTAATCATGGATCCATGTTACGCATTTTTCAAAATCCATAAAACTGTACAATACAAAGAGCAAACTGTAACTATGAACTTTAATAACATCATTAGCTGTAAGAAATGTACTGACTAATACAAGATACTAATAGTAGGAGAAAGTGTGTAGGGGTAGCACATGAAAATTTTGTTATTGGCTTTTTTGTAAATCTAAAATCGTGTTTTAAAATATAGTTTATTTGTTTTTTAAAAAGCCTAAAATCTTATTTTTCCTTGACATACAAATTCATATTTCACTAATTCAAATTACTAGTTTACTAATAATCTGGGTCTAAAACTTCTCAATAATTAAGGTAGAAACAAAAACCTTCATTACTGGCCCTCTTATAGATCCCTGCTGACTACGGAAGGATATAAAACTAATTCCTTGTAATAATTTACAGCTTCCAAAGACTATTAAAATTATTTGATTACAATGGAAAAATGCTTACTCTATGACAGTCAGTGAAAAAGCGAAAGCCACAAACACATACACACATACACAGAGTATAATGCTTTTTTTTTAAAAAAAAAAAAGGGAAGAAAATACAACTTTTATCTGGGTTAATTATCTTGGAGAGACAGAATTATTATTTTTTTCCACAATTAACATTTTACTTTTCATTATAATCAGAACATGAAAATCAGCTTCTCAAAAAAAAAAAAAAAAAAGCTTACTTTCTTAGTTTCTATCAGAGAAACAGGAGATTTTTTTTTTTTTTTTTTTTTTTTTGAGATGGAGTCTCGCTGTCACCCAGGCTGGAGTGCAATGGCACGATCTCGGCTCACTGAAACCTCCACCTCCCAGGTTCAAGCAATTCTTCTGCCTCAGCCTCCGGAGTAGCTGGGATTACAGGCGTGCACCACCACACCGGGCTAATTTTTGTATTTTTAGTAGAGATAGGGTTTCACCATCTTGGCCAGGCTGGTCTTGAACTCCTGACCTCGTGATCCACCCGCCTCAGCCTCCCAAAGTGCTGGGATTACAGGCACGAGCCACTGCGCCCAGCCAAAACAGGAGATTCTTAAGCCAGTAATGAGAAAACTTTTTCAAACAAGGTCCAATTTTAGAGGGGGCGGTGGGGCAGGGAGGTGGCTTTACTGAACTCCATGGAGGGAAGATTGCGTATTTACAACAACTTCAGTTTCTTAATAAGAACAATGTTAGTGAGGAAACAATTCTTTTAATACTAAATCATCTCATTTAAAAAGCAACATCATCATCATAGAGGCTGCCTTTTCATTCTCTCATTCTTTACATCACTTGCTATCTACTTTAGCCTCCTCTAAAACCATGAAAGGTACAGTAACCTTTTTTTTTTTGTTTGTTAACATATAGAGAAAATAAAGCCCACTTGACTGAGGTCCTACGTGGTCCAATTTCATTGAAAGCAAATCTTATTTTTTGTCAGGCACAGTGCTTAGTTGGAGGCTTAGAAATCAATAACTGCCACACACCCTTTCCCAATTTGGGCCTCTCTTTATTCAAATTGTGGAATTATTTTCAAAGATAGGTTGGACTTGCAGCAAACCAGTATACCCAAAGGCACTAGAATGGGTTCTCTAGCTCTGCTGAGTTAATCCCTAAAACCCAAAGGTCCTGGCTGACCCTTTTATTTTGTGTTCTTCTAGTGTATGCGTGCACACATGCATGCATGTGTTTGAATGGAAGCACTTAAGGATCAGCTTGTATTGCTGCCCTAGTGGTTCTCCCTCTAATGTCTTTGATTTATAAAACTCAAAAGGCCCTTTTAAAAGTTGAATCTTAGGCTTTCCCAAAAGCTAAAATTCACTCCCTTTCAGTAGAGCTCCTCACTACTCTAGGCAATACAGTAAAATATGAAGTGTGTGCTTGTATTACTCTCATGGTTCCCTTTTCTTCAAGTTTCTCCCTTTGGCACCTCTTCTCTGACCCATTCATAGTGCTCTTCCATTCATTAATCTTCTGCCAGGCCAAATGAGAACAGTGCATCATCACAGTTATACACGTCTGCCTTTTCTATCAGCAAGCAACCTGCCTCTACCCTGCAATTTATCCATTGAAAAAAAAAAAAGAATCCATTACTGATTCTATTACCAACCCCCTTTGAATGGTAATGAATTTCTACGTTTAAAGTGTAGAAATATTTGCAACTTGTAATGATGAACCATGACTAAGAGGCAGTATAAAACAGTTAAACAGGCACACTCTGGAGCCAGATGGCCTGGATTAGAATTCTGACTCTACTACTTGCTAGCTGCATCACCCTGGGCTCTTTAATCTTAGGTTTAAAATGGGAGAAATACATTATCTGTCCAGAAGGCTCCTTTGAGCAATAATTGGCTTAGCATACAAAAAATGTATGCAAACCATAACAGGATGTAAATACAGAGGTCAGTAAATGTTATTTTACTATCTTTTACCCATAACTGTGGAAGGAAAAGTTTAGACTTCTTTAAAATTTTCAAGAAATAAACATATGAGAAAATATTTTTGTAGGTAGACAGCCCATGGAATTATGTTACTGAGTAAGATGAGAAGGCAAATTTCCTTTAGTCTCTTAAGGTAGGGGAAACAAGATGCTGTAAGGTGCTCTCAGGGGAGTGTGGCATCATTGGAGAATCATTTATGGAGATATTAGTTGCTAGGTGAATATGCTGAAGGCCTATCTTTGGTAACTCCTCCTAACACAATCAGTTCTGCTGAGTTACCTCAGGGTATCTTCTTTGGGAGGCCCCATAGGAGGGTTCAAAATGCTTGAAGACCAAGAATCATGCACCCTTTATGACCAATACTGCTTTTATATTTTGTAATCACATCATGGCTAAAATATGTGCCACTATACATCAAATTTACCTTATTATAGTGTCTTTATTCTCTCCCTGATTTCTTTAACCATGGTCTTTAATTTATTGCATTGTATTTTACTCTAAGTCACTGCAAATGCCTTTTTTTCTTTTTTGAAAAGTGGACATAAATAAATGCACATAGCCTGAAGGGGCGTTCTCCTTTAAACTCAGGCTTCTCTTTCATTTATCTCAGACTACCCAATGATTAGTTTGCTTTTCACACAATGTCTGGCATTACCTTTTTTTTCTCCTGTAGTGACAAGGTCTCACTGTGTTGTCCAAACTAGTTTTCAACTTCTGGACTCAAGTGATCCTCCCACACTGGCCTCCCAAAGTGCTGGGATAACAGGTGTGAGCCACTGTGCCTGGCCTCCTTTCATATCTATTATCTTCTAGGTTTGGAGGCTTCTCCTCCTTCCTGGATTAGTACCTACCCAGATACAACTCTACCATTTCAGCCCATGTCCACACTCACAGCTTTGCCCAAGAATAGGACACGGTTGCAGCTAGTGCACAATCTGAGGAGAGAGGAATATCCTTAGAGCTAGCTGATCTGAATGTGGGTTGCCCTCAGGGGCTGGCCTTATTCCCTGTCCCTTCTAATCACCTGAAATTGAGATCCAGCTTCACCTGTAATGTGTTCTCCACAAATCTGACAAAATCTGCTTCTGTACCCATGGCATTGTTTTACCAGTCTTTATTTATTTGAATATGTGATGTCCTTTCACAGAATTTATGTCCAATTTCTTAATACACATCCAATAGTATTTTTTTTACAAGAAAATGATGTTCCTGGAATGCATCCTTTCTACCAATAAGTCTTACTGTATAAACAAAACAATGCTCTTCATTTGTTCTGAATCCTCCCCAACTCTTTCCAATCAAAATATGTTTGCCCTGAAAGAACAGGTCAATTATCATTTTTTGCATAATGCAGAGAATATCAAAAGACATTTCCAAGGATAATGAGACTGAAGTTGGATGTCAGGCCAGCATCTATTTTAACCATGCTGAAAAACCTAGTGGTATACACAGGTCCACTTTATGTTGGTAAGTGTAACTTTTTCTCTTTTCCAATGTAGACTTGACAACAGTCAGCTTTATCAGTCTGAGGAGTCAGCTTCAAGTTGTACAGAAGTGTACAGCAGTGTCCACACACAGGCATTTTGCTAGGGCTTAAAATCTTGGAAGCAGACACAAACGGTACATTTCAATTCCCTTTGAGTGCATTCCTCTCTCTGCCTGACAGATGACAAGTTATTACTCCACCTATCCTTTCTCCTGAACTCTTCTTTCAGTCAGGACCGTCTACTGTTCTATGTTTGTAAGACTAAGGGAATGAGATGGGGGAAGTAAACTTTCATTTCAAAATAAGAAAAGAGAGTCCTGCTACCAAGAACTATTTAACTGAGTTCAAAACTGGATACAAATTAACTTCAGAATACTTAAGAAACAATGTCAGGCTGGTGCGATGGCTCACGCCTGTAATCCCAACACTTTAGGAGGCCAAGGTGGGCAGATCACGGATCATGAGGCCAGGAGTCCAAGATAAGCCTGGCCAACATGGTGAAACCCTATCTCTACTAAAAATACAAAAATTAGCCGGGCGTGGTGGCACGCACCCGTGATCCCAGCTACTCTGGAGGCTGAGGCAGAGGAATTGCTTAAACCTGGTGGGGGCGGTGAGGAAGGTTGTGGTGAGCAGATATTGCACCACTGCACTCCAGCCTGGGCAACAGAGCAAGATTCCGTCACCAGGGTTTGGGCGGGGGGAGGAGAATGTTAAGTTCCTTCGTGTTCTACAATTCCAAGATATTTAGTATCAACTGTAAAATGTTATCATATTAAATAAAACAGGTAATAGGAGATCAAATAAAGATACTATTGAAATGTAAACAAAGTTGTTTCCTTAAAGAGAAAAGTTTGGGTACTGAATTTAATAAAATTATTGAACTCCAAGAGGAATGAAAATTATAACATTTGGGTTGAGGAACCCAAAGTAAATGTAACTTAATGAAAGTAGGTAGTGTTTTTTTCTGCATGTGGCACACAACTGAAGTGTTTTACTATCTTAGGTCATCAAAGACTTTGTGCCTTCAGGATGCTTCCCACCTGGTAAAGACAGCTCAATGTGTTATGATTCAATAAATTCTGCATAAAGCTGATTAAGGGTGACTATGAAGAACTGCTACTGAAAGGGATCAGAAGGAACAAGAATGTTTGTCTCACTTTCATAACAGATTGGAGTCCACTCCCAACTCCTTCTCGGCACTTTTTGGGCTAAATTAACAGTTGGTGAATAACAGAACTCACCTTTTAATTTCTAACACAGCGGGTTGCTCAATTTCACTGTATGCACTAATAATTTTAGCCTTATATTTGATTCTGTGTACAATTTTTAGTCCAACAAATACTGATGGCTCGAAAATGCCATGGAGTATATGCTTTTAATTTCATTAATTCTTTCACTCATTTATTTATTCAGCAAATATTTAACTGCACACCTAACCACATGCTATAAGTACTGTACTAGGCAGTGAAATTCAAAGAAAAAAAAGTCCCTTCTCTCAATAAACTCTGCCCAACAGAGGGCAAACAATCACAACTGAAGGTGGTCAGTGCCACAACGAAAGTACGCACTGGACACAGGAGGGGTGGGGCAAACAGTACCAAGAACAATGCTGAGAGACGTCAGAAAAAGGCTCCTAAAGGTAATCCTGGAGGCAAGTTGTATTTTAACAAGTTGAGAAGTAAAAGGCTATGTGAAGACATAACAAAATAAGGCATAACTCAAAGAGCTACAAAGATCTCATTATTAGTGTAGCTTGAAGCATGATGGGTTAAAGAAATTAGGAAGGAAAAGTGTACTGAGACTACACTCTGGGACTGTACTAGGTAATAAAAATTCTAAAGTACCATAAGATGGAGCCCCTGATCGCGAGGAGGTTACAGTGTAGAGGAAGAAAAAGACCCTCAAACAGTTCATTTCAATAAGGTTGGTGTCATAGTGGAAGAACACATAGGGAAACATGGCTAGACAGGCACAAAGGAGTGCCTTATACATCACACAAAGATGTTAAAAATTTTATCCTATAGTCAACAGACAGTCACTGAAAATTTTGAAATGGATAGTAATTACAACAGTGGCAGTGGATGATGGATTGGAAGGTATAAAGACTAGGGCAAGAAGGAGGCTTCTGCCAAAGCCCAGGCAAGTATGTGATGAACCTGAACAAGGCCATCCTACTGTGGCAACTTTACAATGTTTTTTTTCTAGCCAAGTGAATGGGGATTCTCTCTAATCTATCATTAAAAGAAGAAAAGGAAAAATCCAGAGTGAAATTTTCTGAAACTCCTTAAAGGCTTAGCAAAAAGTTACATAAAAAAAATTTTTTTTAACCTTCCTTGGAAAAAATCAGTAATGAGTTTAAAATTTAGTACAGATAATCTTAAGTCCAATAAGCAAATTGTGAAATATCAAACTGATGGAAAATGGTATATGCATTTTAAATGACTACATATAAAAATCTGAGAAACTTAAAATATGACTAGAAAGGCAGAATAAATATCATATGTGCAGTAAGATACTGTATAGTATGCAGTATATGCTGACAAGCTAAAAGAAAAAATGAAAGGTAAAATAATTTCTATTATTTTTATTGTTTTTTACAATAATAGAATAAAATGAAATGAAAAAAACCAACACAAGAATAATGTTTATTGTATTCGATGGGCCTGACCCACATGAGTTACACCCGATTTTTAGTTCTTGGTTTCCTAGAATGGTTTTTACAAATGGTCTTCCTGCCTAACTGCAATATTATCAAAATACAAAATAATTGATACTTTGGCTTAAGAGAGATCCTTAAAATTTCTATTATGAATAGTTATCTCCTTCCTGACTGATAGAAGGTAAAGGCAAATTCAAAAAGCTAATAGGACTCAAAGTCAAAGAACACAGGAGAAAAAAATATACATAAATAATTTTCGCATGTGTGTTTCTCTAGACTATTTCAGAGAAAAGAAATCTGTGGAAAATGGCTGTACCACCAAAAGACTTTTTAAAGCCATTTTAAAACAATTCAGTCGACAAACACATCATTTATTGAGCATCTATAAACCAAGCACTTTACTCTGAAAACACAAAAGAAAATAAAATATATAGTTCCTGCCCTCAAGGAGCTCACAGTCTAAAAGGAGAGAAAGAATGGTTACAAATAATTGCAATAAAGTATGGTGAGTCCTCTAACAGAAGTATGTAAAAGATACTACGATAAGCAAAGAAGACAGGTAGAGTGAGAAAAGTCAAGGTGGCTTTCATAAGGGAGTTAAGTCTTTAATGAGCTATAGGAAGGGAAAGAAGACTTCAATAGCACATCCAAGGAAATGTTAAATATGAAAGAAGGTGAATGAGGGTAATTTTCGTAGTCCCTATGGTACACAGAGTGAAGGGAAGAGCAAAAATAAATGACGTTAAAGGAGAAAGCGGGAACAAATTACAAAGAACCTAATATTCATACTAGAGAATATGACTATTATTGAATTCTATCAAATCTAAACTGCCATCAATTAAAAGACACAACATTACTATATATACCATAAGAAAGAAAAAAGCTTTATGCTTGTGTGTTAATATTAGTATAGAATGCTACTGAATAAAGATACATTACCAAAGGGCTATGCCCTCAGTGTAAGATTAAAGAAATAAATTAGCCATGCAGAAAGGGAAAGCAAAGAATTTTGTATTTCTCAACTTGCCCTTAGGTAGAAAGGAGAAGCAAAAAATCTTCCTGAGAACTGAACCTTGAGCAGATCTGCAGCCTAAATTAAAGCTAATACTGTGGTCCAAAAACAAATGAACAAAACAAACAAGCAAAAACTTTAACGTGGTCTCCGGTTGGTAGTGTCCCCAAATGCCTGGCAGAAACAAATGAAAATTCTCTTTAGAAGAACAAGACTTCAATCCTGAACAACAGCAATTTAAGATGCAATTTCACTGCAAAGATGAAAACAGTGCATCTCAGAATCAATGAAAAGCAGTCAATCTTATAGTCAGTCTTAAAGCTGGTGATGTTTCAGAATCACACAGGGAACTCTTTAAAAATACAAATCACCAGACTTCACACCCAGAGATTCTCATACAGGTAGGTTGTCAGACAGGTGGATACTTCAGCTAGGCCGGATGTTGAGCCTTGGGATCTCTATTTTAACAAGCTATCCAACATTTCTTTTTTACACACCTGACAAGATAACAAGACACTAGCATCTGTCTGTGGAATCAGCTGAAAAATCCTACTCTAGAAGTTCTTTTGGAGAGAAGCTAGATTAGAAGAGTATAGGGACAGGAGATACAGGACAGTAAATATAACAGGAGATTGTTAAAAGTCTTCACGCTAGAGGTGGTGATCATTTAAATACTAACAGTGGGAGAAAAGTAAGAGTATTAAGGAGGCAGAACTACACAGAATTCTTTAATAAAAACTATATGAAAGTAAAGGCATTAGATTTGATTCTGAAAAATTTCAGAAGACTACTCCTGGGCATTAGGGCCACTGGACCTTTAAAAGTAAATCTCAGGTGGGCGCGGTAGCTCACACCTGTAATCCCAGCACTCTGGGAGGCCGAGGTGGGTGGATCAACTGAGGTCAGGAGTTTGAGACCGGCCTGGCCAACAAGACGAAATCCCATCTCTACTAAAAATACAAACATCAGCTGGGTGTGGTGGCACACGCCTGTAATCCCAACTACTCAGTAGGCTGAAGCAGGAGAATCACTTAAACCCAGAAGGCAGAGGTTGCAGTGAGCCAAGATCATGCCACTGCACTCCAGCCTGGGTAACAGAGAGACTCTGTCTCAAAGAAAAAAAAAAAGGAAATCTCATTTGGGTATAGTAATCCACCACCTTTTAGCTATGTAATAAAGTATAAGTGCTATACAAAATCCTATACTACATAAATATCAAATGTTCCAAATGTTACTTAAAACTCAAAATGATTTCCAAATTCAGATGTAAGCACAGAGGGATTTTATTCTTTAATGTTTAACATATCTATTAATCAGTGTGTATGAATTAAAAAATCAGAATTTCTTTAGACAAAAGAAAAGATTTCCACTGGTTGATAAATTTAAAGTACAAACAGAAAACAATGAATTAACAAACTTACGCTGAATATGAATGAACTGTTTTGGCTGTTTAAACTCTCCTTTGTACAAGCGATTGTAATAGTTGACGTTGCTCTCTGCCTCAGGAACAGGAATGACCATACTCTCTTTTTTTTCTCTAAACACTTGCTGTGCTGAAATTGCTCGCTGTAAATGATGTTCCTGGAAAATGTAAAGTAGGCAACATAAGTTGTTTTAGTAATATTAATCAATGCATAATTTTATATAAAAGTTACTTTGTTTAATAATCACAAAGTGCTTTAAGAATCAATTATAAATAGTTCCTTTGCCAAAGACCTACAGTTACATTGTCATCATTCTCTCTTAATACTCGTGGCTCATACTGATAACACCTTAGATTATTACAATTTTTGTAAGTAGAATTTTTTAAACAAAATTAAATATATACTCAGAAACTAGAATATAAAATTTCAATTACAAAAAATTAATCTGTTTGCTAGATTAATTGAGGTGTTTGTCACCACTACCAGATGAAAGAAAAATTCCAAATTACAGGAAATAAATTTGTATCACAGATTTTAAGTATCTTCTGCATTTATTACTTCAAACTTTAACAGTACAAAATTCTGAATATTTCAAAGAAAGATAAAATTATGTTCAACAAGTTTTATTACTACCAGGGCAGAAAATATTTTTAAATAAAGGTTAAATGAACAGTTCCTATAACATATATCCAGTTTCTAATCACTTCATTACTTCCACAACTTACTGAAATAGCCTCCTAAATAGAATTTTCCCTCCTTCCTCCCTTCCCCCACAATGGCCCATTCCCAATAAAACAGTTTTACCTTTTGGAAGGTAAATCGTGTCATGCCACCCACCCCATAAAGGATTTCTGATCTCCATCCTATTCAGAGTAAAGGTTAAAAATCACTCAATGGCTGGGTGGTGGCTCATGCCTGTAATCCCAGCACTTTGGGAGGCCAAGATGGGCGGATCAAAAGGTCAGGAGATCGAAACCATCCTGGCTAACACAGTGAAACCCCGACTCTACTAAAAATACAAAAAAAATTAGCCGGGCGTAGTGGCGGGTGCCTCTAGTCCCAGCTACTCAGGAGGCTGAGGCAGGAGAATGGCGTGAACCCAGGAGGCAGAGGTTACAGTGAGCCGAGATCCGCCACTGGACTCCAGCCTGGGCGACACAGCGAGACTCCGTCTCAAAAAAAAAAAAAATTTCACTCAATGACCTACAAGACTCTGCATCTCTCTTATCTCATTTCCAACCTCTCTCCTCTCCAATCTTTAATTCTAGCCACACTGATGTTGCTGTTTCTATATATCCAAACGGTCTGCTTTCAAAATTGCTTCCAGTCTTATCTTAGCAGAGAGGCCTTCCGTGACTTTTTTTTCTAATCTAAAAGAGTACTCCTCCTCTAGCATTCCTTCCCTGTTTTACTTTCCTCCATACCTTTCCTGTTTTACTTTCCTCCATACCACTTTGCAACATCATAGTAAAGATCTCATTTGTTTACTGCCCCTCTCCCCCTAGCATAAAGTAAGTTCCAAGGAGGCAATGATTTTTGCTTGTTTTGTTAATTTCTTATCCCTAATGCCTAGTACAATGGCCAAAATATAGAAGCTGCTTAACATACATTAACTGAATGAATAAATGAAATCTTTACTGGATTCCTACTATATGTCAAGCTATGCAAAATGCATATAAAGAAACTGAGGCATAAGGATGTTTTGTAAGTTGTTGAGGTCAAACAGTTCTAAGTAACAAAACAGAAACACAATTCAGGATATACATATATATGCAAAGCCAAAATTCTTTTTTTAAAATTTTATTATTATTATACTTTAAGTTTTAGGGCACATGTGTACAATGTGCAGGTTTGTTACATATGTATACATGTGCCATGTTGGTGTGCTGCACCCATTAACTCATCATTTAGCATTAGGTATATCTCCTAATGCTATCCGTCCCCCCTCCCCCCATCCCACAACAGGCCCTGGTGTGTGTGATGTTCCCCTTCCTGTGTCCATGTGTTCTCACTGTTCAATTCCCACCTATGAGTGAGCACATGTGGTGTTTGATTTTTTGCCCTTGCAATAGTTTGCTGAGAATGATGGTTTCCAGCTTCATCCATGTCCCTACAAAGGACATGAGCTCATCATTTTTTATGGCTGCATAGTATTCCATGGTGCATATGTGCCACATTTTCTTAATCCAGTCTATCATTGTTGGACATTTGGGTTGGTTCCAAGTCTTGCAAAGCCAAAATTCTTAATCCTAAGATATTACACCATTTTTTTGGAAATTAGAAGGTCTTAATTTCATTCAAGCCTTTAGGGTATGTGAAATGTTATTATACAAAAGGAATTAGTGCAGTGATCCAAAAAGAAAAGTTTCGTTCAGCAAGACATAAATAAAATTAAACTGAAGGTCCATTCTATGCAAAATACACAGTAGATTAGTTTGATTATAACTAGTACTTTAAAAGGAAGGTAAGATGATAGAGGGGGATAGATACCAAATAATAAGAAAATAATTAATTTCATGATCTTCTGCCAGTAATTACCGTTAAAGAAAGCAGAGAGACAGAGACATAAAAACAAACGGGAAAGAAAAGAAATACAATATGAGGAAGTGGGCAAACAAGCTTCTATGCCATAGACAAGTGAACAGTAAGCCAGGGCAGCTATTGGGACTCCCACAAGCAGCATCGTTTTGTCAGATCCAATCAAGTCATACCTGCTTTTCCCCAAATAATCATCTATACTACATCATAGTCAGCATCTCTTTGGCATTTTGTCAGAATAAGTTAAATCAAGAAAGCATATTTAAGAAAAATGCCATGAAATTTGGCTAAGGAACAGAAGTCTAGGAATAGCTAAGTAAACTTAAAAAGCAGCAGAAAATGTGGCATGAGAACGGAGACCTGCCTACTAGAAATCACAAAATATTATAAAGCCACATTTTCTGCTCCTTTTTAAGCTCACTAAGTGCCACTCTAGTGAACACACAAATAATAACGAAGCAAAACAGCCTTATTGGTGAGACAGAGAAAGTTTCAGTGGTCTGGTCAGTGGTCAATGTCAAACCAGCCACAACATTCCCGTAAGCCAAAGCCTAATCCAGGGCAAGGCATTTCAATTCTATGAAGGCTGAGAGAGGTGAAAAAGCTACAGGAAAAAAGTTAGAAGATGGCAGAGATTGGCTCATGAGGTTGAAGGCAAAAATCCATCTCCATAACATAAAAGCGCAAGGTGAGGCAGCAAGTGCTGATGGAGAAACATCACAAGTCATCTAGAAGATCTAGTTAAGATCACTGATGAAGGTGGCTACACTGAATAATAGATTTTCAATGTAGATGAAATAGCCTTCTACTGGTAGAAGATGCCATCTAGGACTTTTACAGCTAGAGAGGAAACGTCAACGCCTGGTTTCAAAGCTTCAAAGAACAGACTGATTCTCTTGTTAGGGGCTAATCAGCTGGTAATGTTAATTGTAGTCAATGCTCATTTACCATTCCAAAAATCCTAAGGCCCTCAAGAATACGCTAAATCTACTCTGCCTGTGCTCTACAGGTTTAATAAATATTCTAAGCTAACTGTTGAGGGCTACTGCTCAGGGAAAAAAAAATTAGTTTAAAATACAACTACCCAACAATGCATATGGTCACCCAAGAAGTCTGATGGCGATGAACAAGGAGATTAATGCTATTTTCATGCCTGCTAAGACAACATTCATTCTGCAGTCCATGGATTAAAAGTAATTTTGACTTTCAAGTTTTTATTTAAGAAATCCATTTTGTAAGGCAATAGCTGCCATAAATTCCTCTGATGGATCTGAGCAAAGTAAACTGAAAACCTTCTGAAAAGGATTCACTATTGTAGATGTCATTAAGAACATTCATGATTCATAGAAAGAGGTCAAAATGCCCACATTAACAGGAGTTTGAAAGAAGGGAATTCTAATCCTCATGGATGACTTTGAGGAGTTCAAGACTTCAGTAAAGGAAGTAACTGAAGATGTAGTGGAAATGGCAAGAAAACTAGAATTAGAAGTGGAGCCTGTTCAGAATATTATGTGACCAAATTGTGGCAATTTCATAAAACTTGAACAGATGAGGAGTTGTTTCTTATGGATGAGCAAGGAAGTGGTTTCTTGAGATGGAATTTACTGCAGGTGAAGATGTTGTGAACATTGCTGAACTGACAACAAAGGATTTGGAACATTATACAAAGTTGATAAGCAGGAGCAGGGTTTGAGAATGCAATTTTGAAAAAAGTTCTACTGTGAGTAAAATGTTATCAAACAGCATCACATGCTACAACAAATTCTTTCATGAGTCAACTGATGCAGCAAACTTCACTATTGTCTTATTATAAGAAACTTCCACAGCCACCTAACCTTTAGCAAACATTACCCTGATCAGTCTAGCCATTAACATCAAGGCAAGACCCTCCAACAGTAAAAAGATTGTGAATAACCGAAAGCTCAGATGACCGTTAGCAACCATTTTTTAGCAATAGGGCATTTTAAAATTAAGGAATGGATATATTTTAGACACAGTGCTAGTGCATACGTAATAGACCACAGTATAGTATAAGCATAACTTTTATTTTTTTATTTTTATTTTTTGAGATGGAATCTCACTCTGTCGCCCAGGCTAGAGTGCAGTGGCGCAATCTTGGCTCACTGCAGGCTCTGCCCCCCGAAGCGGAGCTCACGCCATTCTCCTGCCTTAGCCTCCTGAGTAGCTGGGACTACAGGCTCCCGCCACCACACCCGGCTAATTTTTTTGTATTTTTAGTAGAGACGGTGTTTCACCGTGTTAGCCAGGATGGTCTCGATCTCCTGACCTCGTGATCTGCCCACCTCAGCCTCCCAAAGTGCTGGGATTACAGGCGTGAGCCACCGTGCCCAGCCAGCATAACTTTTATATGCACTGTGAAACCAAAATATTCATGTAACTTGCTTTATTTAGTGTTACTCGCTTTATTGTGGTGGCTTGGAACCAAACCTACAATATCTGTATATATCTAAACATGCTAAATAAAACCATAGACAGAAGAAAACAAAGGGAAATATCTTTCAGCTGTAAGAGCAGAGAACTCCTTAAAATTTCAGAAGTACGAACAATAAAGAAAAAAAAAACTCAACGAAATCCATTATATTAAAATTAAAAATTTTTGTTCAATAAAGGACACCACGGACAAAGTTAATAAATTTATGACAAAATAGTATGTTATTTTAAATGTCTAAAACCTATAAATGATTACTATCAAGAATATATAAGAAACTCCTGCAAATTAACAGGAAAAGTAACCCTAAAGGAAAAATGGGTAAAAGATATAAATAGGCAATTTACAGAAGAGAAAACCCAAAAGGCTAACAAGTATGTGAAGAGATGTGCAAATTCATTAGTAATCAGAAAAACACAAGTTTAAAAAATTTTATGAGACGATTTATACTGATTAGGCTGGCAAAAATAAAAAACTAAAATAATGCCAAGTGTTGGCAAGGATATGATACAAATTCCGGCATGTATGACTATGGAAGCACAGACTTTCTACCATTCCAGAGAGCAACGTGATTAATTACTCAAACTGAATCTGCATAATCTGTGAACTAGCAACTCCTGTCTTGACTGTATAACCCAAAGAAAACCTCACGCAGGTATGTAAGTAGGCATAGGGGTTCACTGAAATGGTATCCGCTGTAGAGGAAAGTTTGAGGCAACGTGGGTATCTATGAGTGGGACAGTAGGGAAGTCAAATGTGGTAGATGCTCATCATGAATATTACCAAACAGTTGGTATCAACAGTCCAGATGCATATACAATGTGATGCATCTTAGAAGCACTGTTACGTGTAGAAGAATCAAGTTGGATCCTCAGCTTTCACCTTATACAAAAATCAACTGACCTGAAACCATAAAAATTCTAGAACATAACATCGGAAAAACTCTTCTACACATTGGCTTAGGCAACGAGTTCATGACCAAGAACCCAAACGCAAATGCAACAAAGATAAATAGATGGGACCTAATTAAACTAAAGATTCTGCACAGCAAAAGAAATAATCAGCAGGGCAAAGAGACAACCCACAGAGTGGGAGAAAATATTTGCAAACTATGCATCTAACAAAGGACTAATATTCAGAATCTACAAGGAACTCAAATCAGCAAGAAAAAAAACAATCCCATCAAAAAGTGGGCAAAGGACATGAATGGACAATTCTCAAAAGAAAGATACATAAATGGCCAACAAACAATGAAAAAATGCTCAACATCACTAATCGTCAGTGAAATGCAAATCAAAACTGCAATGAGATACCACCTTACTCCTGCAAGAATGGCCATAATTTAAAAATTAAAAAGTAATGATGTTGGTGTGGATGTGGTAAAAAGGAACACTTTTACACTGCTGGTGGGAATGTAAACTAGTACAACCTCTATGGAAAAACAGTATGGAGATTCCTTAAAGAACTAAAAGTAGATTTGATCCAGTAATCCCACTACCGGGTAACTACCCAAAGGAAAAGAAATCATTATATGAAAAAGACACTTGCACGCATTTACAGCAGTACAATTTGCAATTGCAAAAATATGAAACCAGCCTAAATGCTCATCAACTAAGGAGTGAATGTGGTGTATATATACCATGGAATACTACTCAGGCATAAAAAGGAATGAAATAATGGCATTTGCAGCAACCTGGATAGAGTTGAAGACCATTATTCTAAATGAAGTAACTCGGGAATGGAAAACCAAACATCACGTTATTATTTATAAGTGGGAGCTAAGCTATGAGGATGCAAAGGCATAAGAATGATATAATGGGCCAGGTGTGGTGGCTCACAGCTGTAATCCCAGTATTTTGGGAGGCCGAGGTGGGTGGATCACGAGATCAGGAGATCGAGACAATCCTGGCTAACATGGTGAAACCCTGTCTCTACTAAAATTACAAAAATTAGCCGGCAGTGGTGGTGCATGACTGTAGTCCCAGCTACTTGGGAGGCTGAGGCAGGAGAATTGCTTGAACCCGGGAGGTGGAGGTTGCAGTGAGCCGAGATCATGCCACTGCACTCCAGCCTGGGCAACACAGCAAGACTCCATCTCAAAAAAAAAAAAATGATATAATGGACTTTGGAGACTTGGCAGGAAGGATGAGAGGGGATTAAGGGATAAAAGACTAGACACTGGGTACAGTGTACACTGCTCAGGTGATGGGTGCACCAAAATCTCAGAAATCACTACTAAAGGACTTTTCCAAGCAAGCAAACACCACCTGTTTCCCCAAAGCTATTGAAATTAAAAAAAAAAAAATTTAAGATCCTTGTGATATATTTTGTGAATAAGGAAAAAAAAAGCAGTGTTAATTCAGAAAACTTGTAAGAAATAGAATCAGATATAACATGTGATTTCTATAAATTAAAAGCAAATGTACATAAAACAGTATGGATTTTGCCAAAAGAGACACATTAAATATATTAGTTGGTTGCCTGAGAGGGTAGAGAAAAGAATGGGAGTAGCAGAGAGAGAACAGAATAAAGGAAACCAGAGAGGAGTCTTGCAATACCCTTTCAAATTCAGGCCGTATTGGACTACAGTGTCAGAGACAAAACACGATTGGCCATATGTGATTAACTGCAGAAGATGACCACATGGAGATTCATTATACTTGTGTATGTTTAATAATTCCATAATAAAAATGAAAATACAGTGAGAGGAGGGGAGGAGAGGAAAAGAGAAGGCCCTTGTAGAAACCAACAGTAACAACGTACCACAAAACTGAGGTATATGAGTAACTCGACTCTCTGCAACTTTCCTCCCAAAAAAAACTCTATACAATAATAAGATTATGTATTGGAGAGTTTTCAAAACATATTTAGTTTTAAAACTGAACAAGGGTTTTGGTGTGCACTCAATGCACCCCAGTAACCACAGGTCAAAAACACTACTCATTAATTAGTGGAGATAAAGGCTTATGAATACTGATAATAACTTTATAAACATAAAATGACAAGGTAGAGAGGATGTGGAGAAATAGGAATGCTTTTACACTGTTGGTGGGAGTGTAAACTAGTTCAACCATTGTGGAAGACAGTGTGATGATTCCTCAAGGATCTAGAACTAGAAATACCATTCGACCCAGCAATCCCATTACTGGGTATATACCCAAAGGATTATAAATCATGCTACTATAAAGACACATGCACACATATGTTTACTGCGGCACTATTCACAATAGCAAAGACTTGGAACCAACCCAAATGTCCATGAATGACAGACTGGATTAAGAAAATGTGGCACATATACACCACAGAATACTACGCAGCCATAAAAAAGGATGAGTTCATTTCCTTTGCTGGGACATGGATGCAGCTGGACACCATCATTCTGAGCAAACTATCACAAGGACAAAAAACCAAACACCGCATGTTCTCACTCATAGGTGGGAACTGAATAATGAGAACACTTGGACACAAGGTGGGGAACATCACACCCCGGGGGCCTGTTGTCGGGTAGGGGGTAGGGGGAGGGATAGCATTAGGAGAAATACCTAATGTAAATGACGAGTTAATAGGTGCAGCAAACCAACATGGCACATGTATACCTATGTAACAAACCTGCATGTTGTGCACATGTACCCTAGAACTTAAAGTATAATTAAAAAAGAAAGAAAGAAACAAACAAACAAACAAACCTAACCAGTCATTTTACCCCATGTTTTTCAAACTGCACCCACTAATAGGTCATAGTCAGCAATTTTTTTTTACGGAAAAGAAAAAAAATCAGAGAGTACTGAATGTAAAAAGTTATTTCAGTCATATACGTTTGTAAAATGTTTTTTATTGTCGATCGCAGTCAAAACTGTTTTTAAGAAAACCCTAATATATTCAAACTACCCATTTGTGTTTTGATAAGGTCTTACTGCCTGTAACAAAATTAAACAAATGTAGCCTTTGAGAGATTTGTAAACTCTGAAACAGCAACATGAATTACTATTTCTCCTACCTGCCATTCTCCACACAGCCCCCTCCCCCAATAACAATCCCCTACTTCTCCTAAATAAACCCTTCTGGTCCACATTTAAAATGTCACGTCTTCAGTGAAATCTGACCATCCTAAGTGGAAAAAAAAAATCTCTTTTATCAGTTCTCGGAAACACACACCTTTCCAGCATAGGCTTCTCAGAAGTGGACGTTTATATCTGTTTTTGTAACCATGTGATTTCTGCCTCCTTCTTCCACTGGACTGTGGGGCAAGACAATGTGTCTGTTTTGCATCTACCACTTTGTCCCCAGTGCCTGGCACACCATAAGCTCATGGAGCTTCTACATCATACTAAAGAAAAAGGCAAGTTGCCCACCATCTACAGGATAAAGTCTCATTTTTTGAGCTTGACAAACATGTCTCATCTGAAGCAGTCCAACCTATTATCATTCTAGCACCATACCTCTCCCAAATATCCTTCTCTAAAATTACAGCAACCTTCTTGCTATTCCCCAGTAACAGCATACTGTTTTATGCTTTTGTTTCTTTATATACTGGTCCTCTTCTGAATACAATTTCTACTTCCTATTCCCTGAGTTCACACATATCTTCTCACTCACTATGCCTAGTCTTCAAATTCATGAAAATCTCCAGCTTCTTGACCTTTCCATTTTCTTCATCAGATTCCCTTATAGCTCTTATTTCTTCACTCAGGTCTAGAATCTATGACTCATCTTACCTCAATGCCATCAATTTCTCTGTCAACTTCATTCTATGTTTATAGTGACCAAGTTGGCTCAACAAATATTTCAGGGTCCTTAAGCACCACAGAGGCTTTCTAAGTGAACATTTATCAACCTCCAAACGAAATAAATATCCGGCCTCAAGATATAGAAGTGCACTAGAGTAAACGAAACTAGATGGCTGAATATGCTACAATGCATGAATTAAAAATTATTTATCAGTAGGCATCATTTCTATACACTTGAGAACACCTATTAAACACCGGATATTATCCTGTTATTGAGAACTGTTGAATGAGAAACAGTCTCTGCCATTAAGAAACTCACCTAGTCAGAGAGAGATAATGAAGTATGCAATCATGTTTGAACTTCACAAGCATGTCCAATCTCAACTAGTCAAACCACTCATCTTGGAAGGTTAGGGAAAGATGCCCAAAGAAAGTAAAATCTAAACTATTGACTTTTAGGATCAATAGGGATTTAGCAGGGCAAAAGAAGAAATAAATAAGCGAGGCAGAGAAAACATTATGTCCAAAATGAACAAAGGTCCAGAAACATTTAAAAAAAAAAAAAAAGGGGCTTGAGAAAAGGGCTTCCAGTGCCAGGCAGAAATATGTTTTTCTTAATAGGGCAGAATCCCAAGTTGGAACACCAAATACATTTTCCCATTCAAGTATTACTACAAATTTAGTTAGAATCTATTAGTAGTAAAAACTTTTGCCAGGCGCAGTGGCTTATGTCTATAATCCCAACACTTTGGGAGGCAAGACAGGAGGATCGCTTCAGCTTAGGAGATCGAGACCACCCTGGGCAACATGGTGAGACTATGATTCTCTATTAAAAAAATAAAAATTAGCTGGATGTGGTGGCTCACATCAGTGGTCCTAGTTATTTTGGAGGCTGAGTCAGGAGGATCACTTGAGCGCAGGAATGGGAGGCTGCAGTGAGCTGTGACTGCAACACGGCACTCCAGCCTGGGAGATAGAGCAAGACCCTCTCTCTCTCAAAAAACAAACTTTTGCTCTAAGGCAGTGAGAACCACACACCTACAACAACAAACAACATCAAAGAACTAGGAAGCCAAGGCTGGAATCAGTAATTTCTAACGATTTAAGCCCATGTTCTCCTATACTTTTCTTACATCTCACCTTGCTGGTCACAGAAAGTGATGAAATATACAATGTCACCTTGCAGTTATGTAATGTTTTACAGTTCTCAGAGAGCCTCTGCAATCATGTGCTTATTAGGTCCTCACAATCTTGGGATATATTGGTAGATATTTATATTATTTTATAAATAAGACTCAAGAAACAGGTGATTTGCTCTTAGTTATGGCATCATTTTACAAGAGAATCAAATTTCAAGACTAATTCCAGGGTTCTTTACTCCATCCTTACTAGAGAAGAGTGTTAGTATAAAGATGAAAAACCTGTCCTAGTAATGCTGATGATCTACAGATATGGGTAAATAAGAAGAAACTGAGCTAAATGGCAGCATATGTATTTAAAGCAATTCTTTGGATACATACTTCACTTTCCCCAAAGTACAAAACATTTTTAGATCCAGTTATCAAAATACATCTTTAATATATGAGGATTCAATATTATTTTGTTTTAGTGACAGGGTCGCACTCTGTCACCCAGGCTGGGGTGCTGTGGCATGGTCATAGTGCATTGTAACTTCAAATTCCTAGGCTCAAGTGGTCTTCCCGCTGAGAGGTGACAGAGTGCTGGCAGTCCTCACAGCCCTCGCTCGCTCTTGGCGCCTCCTCTGCCTGGGCTCCCACTTTGGCGGCACTTGAGGAGCCCTTCAGCCCACCGCTGCACTGTGGGAGCCCCTTTCTGGGCTGGCCAAGGCTGGAACCTGCTCCCTCAGCTTGCACGGAGGTGTGGAGGGAGAGGCACAAGTGGGCACCAGGGCTGCATGCAGCGCTTGCGGGCCAGCTGGAGTTCCAGGTGGGCGTGGGCTTGGCCAGCCCTGCACTCGGAGCAGCCGGCCCCAGGCAATGAGGGGCTTAGCACCCGGGCCAGCGGCTGCGGAGGCTGTACTGGGTCCCCCAGCAGTGCCAGCCCACCAGTGCTGCGCTCGATTTCTCGCAGGGCCTTAGCTGCCTTCCCGTGTGGCAGGGCTCGGGACCTGCAGCCCGCCATGCCTAAGCCTCCCACTCCCTCCATGGGCTCCTGCGCAGCCCGAGCCTCCTCAACAAGCGCCACCCCCTGCTCCACGGCACCCAGTCGCATCAACCACCCAAGGGCTGAGGAATGCGGGTGCAATGTGTGGGACTAGCCGGCAGCTCCATCTGCAGCCCTGGTGCGGGATCCACTGGGTGAAGCCAGCTGGGCTCCTGAGTCTGGTGGGGACGTGGAGAACCTTTGTGTCTAGCTCAGGGATTGTAAATACACCAATCGGCACTCTGTATCTAGCTCAAGGTTTGTAAACACACCAATCAGCACCCTGTGTCTAGCTCAAGGTTTGTGAATGCACCAATCAACACTCTGTATCTAGCTACTCTGGTGGGGACCGTGGAGAACCTTTGTGTCTAGCTCAGGGATTGTAAATGCGCCAATCAGCGCCCTGTCAAAACAGACCACTCAGCTCTACCAATCAGCAGGATGTGGGTGGGGCCAGATAAGAGAATAAAAGCAGGCTGCGGGAGCCAGCAGTGGCAACCCGCTCGGGTCCCCTTCCACACTGTGGAAGCTTTGTTCTTTCGCTCTTTGCAATAAATCTTGCTACTGCTCACTCTTTGGGTCCACACTGCCTTTATGAGCTATAACACTCACCGTGAAGGTCTGCAGCTTCACTCCTGAAGCCAGCGAGACCACAAGCCCACCGGGAGGAACAAACAACTCCAGATGCGCCGCCTTAAGAGCTGTAACACTCACTGCAAAGGTCTGCAGCTTCACTCCTGAGCCAGCGAGACCACGAACCCACCAGAAGGAAGAAACTCCGAACACATCTGAACATCAGAAGGAACAAACTCTGGACACACCACCTTTAAGAACTGTAACACTCACCGCGAGGGTCCACGGCTTCATTCTTGAAGTCAGTGAGACCAAGAACCCACCAATTCCGGACACACTGCCTTAGCCTCTCAAGTAGCTGGGAATACAAGTGCGTACCACCAAACCTAGATAATTTTTAAAATTTTTTATAGAGATGGAGTCTCACTATGTTGCCCAAGTTGGTCTTGAACTCCTGGCCTTAAGCAATTATCCTGCCTCAGCTTCCCAAAGTGTTGGGATTACAAGCATGAGCCAGCATGCTGGCCTTATTTTAATTTCATAAATGAGAAAATTTTTAAACAGATCACAGATGACTCTCTTCTTGTTAAGAGAGTTGGCAGATGACAGAGCTGAATCCAGAAATTAAGGAGCCAGATCATGACATCCTCCCTCAATTTAACTTACAGACCAAATTTAGCTCTAAAAATAAATCTCATCTTCATTTCTTTCACCAGATTATGAGACAGTCTCTCAAACCAAAAAACCAGAAGAAAATACAGTAAACGTTTTTAGAGGACTGTGTTTCATATAATAAACATGACTAGTTGTAAACATGTAGAATCCTGGAAGTAGGTACCAGAGTTCTGGTTTGTCTTTTTTGGGGAAAGGGTAGACAGAGGTAATATCAATTCCTTGTTACATTGTTACATGCTGCGTTATACTTTGGTAGGTTACTAGGCTTTTAAAAATAACTAAACTCAAGCACAGGCACTACGTGATTTCCTTTCCTTTAAAAAGGTATCCCTTTGACCCACCAACTCTGTTTATGGAATTCAACCCCCCCCCCAAAAAAAGTGGGTAATAATGGCTATATAAAAATGGTCATCATGGCACTGTTTATAAGACAAAAAGAGAGACAGAGAGAGAGAGAGAGAGAGAGAGCACCTAAATGTCAATAAACAGGGAATTACTTATGTAAATTACACTATTACACATAAGACTGAACTCTTGCTTAGGCAGCAGTAAAAAAACAACATAACTTTAGATCTCCACTTAAAAAAAAAACTAGGATATGAAGTAAACAAGCAGGTTATAAAATAACATGAGCAAATATAAATACATATATATGTAGAGAAAGGAGCCTAGATGAATAGAATATACCACAAAATGCTAACTAATTAAGTGATTGTTATTTTTTTCTGTGTGCCCTCTGTATTTTCTAAATCTTCTGTAGTAAATCTGTATTACTTTTTAATTATATTAATGTTATAAAATAAAGTTTTTTAATGTTATAAAAATATTGCATTTTAATTGAAACATCTCTTCACCAAGATACACAAAATCACTTCTTATAGGTACTTTGACATTCTGAAAAATCTTTTTGAAACCTAGATACACCTCTCCACCAAGATACACAAAATCACTTCTTATAGCTACTTTGACATTCTGAAAAATCTTTTTGAAACCTACTATAATTACGCTTGAGCATTTTTCTGAGTTTCTGTAAAGACATTATACACTTTCTACTTTTTATTTTCCCCTGAAAACATGAAATTACATGGTAAATAAAGCAGACTTTAAAAAAAAAAAAACTAAGTAATTCATGACTTTTAGTCATACACAATGAGTACCAAGATGCAGAGAAGTAGTATGTTATTGTTGTTGTTGTTTTTCTTTTGGGGACGAATGAACTAAGGTTCTATGGCCACACTGGTAGAAATCAGCAAGAATGAAATTTGAATCCTTGTCTGGCGCTTTTCCATCTTACCAAGTTCATGCCCCAACTTCCTGGCTTTCAGGATTTATCCACTGAATTAGGCTACACACATAGCCAAAGATTATTCATTGCTATTTTAAAACTCCCAACTAAAGATAGCTGACTGAATGCCTATACTTATATACTCTACCACCTTATAATGTAAGCTTATTAGTAATGGACTAAAAAACGTATAAAACCACAATGACAAAAACAATGAGATAGGCCATCAGCACAAGAGTGCCGTAAAATTCTGGGAAACTAAAATTGAAAAGAGCAGGAGAGAGGATAGATACTGGGCCCATCTGACCCACAGAAAATCAGAGATGATAGGGATTTATGAACACCAGCTAGAAAGAGTTAGAATGAAAAAAGCACTTCCTTGCCTACTTGTTGAAAGCCCATCATTTTATACAGATAGAAGAGGGTACCATTAAACTAAGAATGTTGTGAATACCTCAAATCTAAAAAAATGAACAGAAGAAAATGTAATAAATCTATTCAATTATCTTAAAACGAGAAGACAAGATTCAGCTATATCTCTACTGATGAACAACTCTCACTCTGGGGAGGGGAGAAAAAAGAAATGTTCAAGAAAAATGCTCCAAACCTAATATACTCAAAAGTAGCATTTAGGGATACGAAAAATTTTAAAAATCACCTGAAATCTGAAAATCTCCAAAACTAAGAACATAAAAGGCAGAGGTAGGAAGACCTAGAAAGAAATTTACTCATAAATGGAAGAAAAGGGAAAAAAAAATCTCAGAAATAAAGACTACAATTATTAGAAGCCCAATGAAAATTATGTCCCAAAAAACCTTTAAGTGTGCTGCATAAAGCTGGTCAAATACCCAATTGAATGAAAATTAGATAAATAGAGAAATAAAATGAGTAAGACAGAAGGTGGTAAGCAGAATGTGCAACAGGCAAGGAAGGAATGACAGTCATGTAGAGTTCCTAAAGAACAAAACAATGCAACAGAACTAATATTTAAAACTATATTCCAAGAAAACCTTCTAGGAACAAAAGACTACGAAGTTACAAACCAGTAAAGGGAGCAAGATGGAGGATGAGTAAGCCCCATACCTCATTCCCACACAAACATACTGACTGTACAATATACAGTCCAAAAAGCCTTGAGAAATCCAGAAACCAGCTGAGAAATTGCAGTACCCCAGGCAAGATCAAAGCCAGGAACACGTGCATTGAAATGGGTTTAAAAGGCCATAAGCCCTTCCCCCAAGCCAGCACACATCAACACTACTGGGAGAAAAAGCACAACTTATGGCTTCTTCCTCAGGAGAGAAAGAGAAGAGTGAAACCTATGTCCAACATTCTGGCTTTTCAGGAGTCTGCCTGATGGACTGGTATACTTTGGATACCTGGGGTCCACTGAGAACAGAATTGGGCTCAGCAACTTTGTGTAGCACCAGAGAACCTGCACCACAGCAGGTAGAAAACAGCACAACTTGGTGTGATGAGGCAAAAGTGTCCAGTTCATGGCTTTTCCCTTTGGAAGGAAATGGAAGAGTGGAAAATGCATCCAATATTCTGACCATCTGGTGGAATGTAGAAGGGACTAATTCTGTCTTCCTGACTTGAAGCACTGACTTAACCAACATACTTTGGAAACCTGGAGACTGTAGAGAACAAAAGAACTCAGTGGCTTGCTGCAGCACCAGAGAATCTGCAGTACCACACACAGAGACAAGAGGGAGCAAGAGAGTACAAACACCTGAGAAAGAAACTAGCAAACCTCTCTAATTGGGAAATTACACATACAAGTACAACAAAGATGCATCTCCAGAATCTCTAGCTGGACTGATCTGCAAAGGTCTTCTCTTAGACAAAACCAGTTTGTAAAGACTGGGAGAGATGCCTGTTTTTTCAAATGCACCAGTCATGGCAAAAAATAAGAAAAAAAGAAGCAGGCAAACAGCCCAATAAAGCAAGAAACTAAATCAAGAAAACAACCCAAAAGATCTATGAATTATCTAATAAAAAATTCAAAATAACTGTCTTAAAGAGGATCAATGTACTATAAGAGAACAATGATAGACAAGTAAATAAAATCAGAAAGCCAGGCGTGGTGGCTCACGCCTGTAATCCCAGCACTTTGGGAGGCCAAGGCCAGCAGATCACTTGAGGTCAGGAGTTTGAGACCAGCCTGACCAACACGGCAAAACCCCATCTCCACTGAAAATACAAAAATATTAGCCAGGCATGGTGAGGCACACCTGTAATCCCAGATACTTGGGAGGCTGAGGCATGAGAATCACTGGAACCCAAGAGGCAGAGGCTGCAGTGAGCCGAGATCGCACCACTGCACTCCAGCCTGGGTGACAGAGTGAGACTCTGTCTCAATAAATAAATAAATAAGAAAAATGATTAATGTATAAAATGAAAATAAAGACATAGATTAGTTTTTAAAAGATCCAACAGAACTTCTGAAGTTGAAGAATATGATAACTTAATTGGAAACATTACTAGAGAGGTTCAACAGCAGACTTATCAAACAGAGCAAATCATCAGTGAATTCAAATACAAGTCATTTGAAATTTTTGAGTCAGAGGAACATAAAGAATGAAGAAATGTGAAGAAACACTAAGGGACTTATGGGATACAATCAAGCGGACCAATATACACATTATAGGAGCTTAAGAAGGTTAGAGAGAGAAGGGACAGAGAGCTTATTTGAAGAAATAATGGCAAAAATTTCCCAAATCCAATTAAGGAAATGGACATCCAAATTCAGGAAGCTCAAAGGACTCCAACTAGAATAGCCCAACAACACACACACTGAGAAACATTATAATAATTATAATCAAGTTATCAAAAGTCAAAGACAGAGAATCTTGAAAGTAAGAGAAAAACAACTTGTCATGTACAAGGGAGAGCTCATAGATTTATCAGTGCATTTCTCAGCAGAAACGTTACAGCTCAGGAAACAGAGTAATATATCCAAAGGACTGAGAGAAAAAAACTGTCAGAACAGAATGATATATCTGACAAAATGTTCTTCAAAAATGAAAGACAAATAAAAACCTCCCAGATAAGTAAAAACTGAGGGAGTTCATCGCTACTGACCCTTCCTATAAAAATTGCTAAAGGGAGTCCTTCAAGTTGAAACAAAAGGATGCTAGACAACAACAAGAAACCACGCAAAAATATAAAACTTAGGTAAAAGTAAATATATAGGCAAATAGAGAACCTATACTACTGTAATAGTGGTATGCAAATTATTTTAATTTCTGGTATACAACTTAAAAGACAAAAACATTTTTAAAAAACTATGTTAATGCATACAAAACACAAAAAATATAATTTTGACACTATAATATTAAGCGGTGGTGAGCAAAAGGCATAGTTTTTGTATACAAAAATAAATTGCTTTTAAGTTTTTAGACTGTTGCCACTGTAAGATGTTTTATGTAATCCCCATGATGATCACACCACAAATACCTTCAAGAAAATTAATGAAAGAAATAAAAGTATGTCACTATAAAAAACAAAATCAACGAAGCACAAAGGGAAGTCAGCATGTGAGAGATAGAGTAGATGAATGGCGTGAAAAACAAAAAGACTCCGACCACATGCTATCTACAAGAGATTCACTTTAGACATAAGGACAAACATAGCCTGAAAGTGAAAAGATGGAAAAAGATATTCCATGTAAATGGTAACCAAAAGAAAGCAGAGATGTCCATACTTCTATCAGACAAAAGAGACTTTAGTCAAAAACCATCAAAGACATAAAGATACATAAAGACAAATGAGTTAATTCACCAGTAATATATAACAATTATAAGACTTACTTTTAAGTACTTCTTATAATTAAGAAGACTGAGTCAGTAATCAAAACACCTCTCAACAAAGAAAAGCCTAGGACCAGATGGCTTCACTGGAGAATTTTACCAAACATTTCAAGAAGGATGGACACAAATCCTTCTCAAACTCAAAGATACTTTAAGAAAACTATAGGCCAATATCCCATACATATTCAGGCATATCAACAAATGTGAATGAATTTAACTCACCTACTAAAACAAAAAGGTTTTCAATTTGGCTTGTAATCCAAGGCTCAACTATACACTGTACACCAAAAAAAAAAATTCCTCCTCTAAATGAAAATAATGCAACTAAAAATGCAAGGAGGAAGAGGAAAAAATAGAATAAGCTGAATTTTTGTGAGCTTACTCAAAGATGGTTAAGAAAGGGTAAAAATAAAGGGACGGACAAAAGTTTACCAGGTAAATGGAGACAATAAGAAATGCAAGCAGATCCTAATACAAGTAGAATTCAAGCCAAAGAAAATTAAATATGACCATAGAAAAGATGACTTTTTTTGGGGGGATGGGGTCTTGCTCTGTTGCCCAGGCTGGAATGCAGTGGCACAATCTCAGCTCGCTGAAACCCCCACCTCCCAGGTTCAGGCAATTCTCCTGCCTCAGCCTCCCGAGCAGCTGGGATTACAGGTGCACACCACCATGCCTGACTAATTTTTATATTTTTAGTAGAGACAGGGTTTCACCATGTTGGCCAGGCCAGTCTCAAACTCCTGATCTCAAGTGATCCGCCTGCCTCGGCCTCCCAAAGTGCTGGGATTACAGGCATGAGCCATCATGCCCAGCCAAAAAGATGACTTTTTAATGCTACAAAAAAAAAAAAAAAAAAAATCACAATCCACAATAGAGATTTAGCATTTATGATTATTTTTACAGCAAGTAATGAAGCAAACATTTTATGAAGCAAAAGCTACCAGATATGCAAGTACCAATAAATAAAAACACACTAATAACAGCAAACTTTAATATACCACTATCAGCATAAAACAAATCAAGTGAACACCTAAGCAACTTAATAAGGTTGATCTTAAACCTATATATCAGACTTTATGCCCAAATGGCCCCTCCTTCCCAAGTACCCAAGAAACCATCATAAAAATTGTTCATGTATTAGTCAAGAATGAGAAAGAATAGGGGCTGGGTGCAGTGGCTCACACAGTAATCCCAGCACTTTCAGAAGATGAGAAAGGAAGACTGCTTAGCCTAGGAGTTCAAGACAAGCCTGGGCAACATACTGATGTCTAGTCTCCACAAAAAATAAACAAAAATAGGTGGCACGTGCCAGCTACTTGGGAGGCTGAGGTGGAAGGATTGCTTGAGCCTGGAAGTTGAGGCTGCAGAAATCTTGCCACTGTACTCTAGCCTGGGCAGCAGAGTGAGACCGAGGGGAAGGGAGGGGACAGGGAAGAGGAGAGAGAATAGACAAGGGAGAGGAGGGGAGAGGAAATTTTTCTAAGCATACTGTTTGTAGAGTTCCAAATTTTAGAACCACGTTTGACATGCTCAAAAAATAAAAAATTAAAATCAACAGGGATTTGGAAGAAAGAACCCAACGGGGAATACAAAAAGAAACAAAAAATAAATCCTATCTTGTAAATGAACCCATATTAACGGGTAAGAGGTTTCTTTTGGGGCTGATAGAAATGTTTTGAAACAAAATAGTGGTAATGGTTGTACAACATTGTGAATATACTAAAAAACACTTACTTGAATACTTTCAAATACAGAATTTTACATTATATGAATTGTCTCTCAATTTTAAAACTTAAAAAAAAAAAAGAGTTAACATGGACCAAATTCACCCTTCCACCTGATGCAACCAGCAAAATACCCCGACAAAGTAATAAAACAATGGGTTTTAAGACAACGGACATCAGGCAATGAAGGCCAGTGCTCTTTAAGAGAAGGAAAACAAATGAGGTAAGCCCTATGGCTGCCTCAGTAGTTAGTTCCCAGAGTATGGAGCAAGAGAATAAACTGAGGCAGAAGGCTTCATGAAGCTCAGTAGACTTCATGAGTTGAGACAGAGTTCAGAAGACCAAGGCAGCTAAGGTTCATAGGACAGAGTACCAAAGAGGAAAAGAACTGCACGGAGAAAGAACCCAGGAGCTCTAAAGAGGCTTCCCTGGAGTACTTAGCAGTGTACTACTGATCAGCACAGCTGTGTGAAGAAACTACCCGAGGCTGGAGAAACAACCATCCAAAAGAGTCTGAGGGAACACAATGCCTGTTCCTAACAAGACTGAAAAACCTCAAAATTTAAAGGGCATTGGATAGAGTACTCAGCAAAAAATACTGATTCAGTAGTGGAGAATAATTAACCCAAGAATGATCAGTGCTTCAGACTCCCTAACAAATTAAAAGAGCAAAACCTAAAGGTATCAAACTATTTACAAGTAACTTTACAAATTTTGAGGTTTTTCCAGTCTTGCTACGAACAGGCACTAGTCCCTCAAACTCTTTTGGATGATTGTTTTGGTGCCAACACTGCGCACTGCAGCCTCGATCCCCTGGGCTCAAGTGATCCTCCTGCCTCAGCCTCACGAGTAACTGGGACAACAGGTTTACACCATCACACCTAGCTAATTTTTTAAATTTCTCTTTTGTAGAGACAGGGTCTTGCCATGTTGCCCAGTCTGGTCTCAAACTCCTGACCTCAAGCAATCCTCCCACCTTGCCCTTTCAAAGTGCTGGGATTACAAGTGTGAACCACTGTGCCCAGCCTTTACAAGTAACTTAACCGCATCCCAGAACAAAGCTCAAGGACATTTATAGGAATACAAAAATATCCAGCACCCAACAGTATAATATTCAATGGATATTAAAAGAGACTCATTAAAAATATTCAATCCAAAAGGTGGCAGAAAAAGAGGGAGAGGGGAACAAAACCAGAAGAAACTACTAGTAAGATGACAGAGTCAAACCTAACCTTACTAAAAATCATATTAAATGTAAATGGTTGAAACACCACAAGAGATGAAAATCAAATAACACACTTCTAAATAACCTATGGCTCAAAGAAGAAATCAAAAGAGAAATAAATTAGAAACTATTTTGAACTAAATGAAAATACAACAGGATGTAAGATGTAATAAAGCAGCACACAGGAAAAAAATTTGCAGCACTAAACACCTGTATTAAAATAGAAAAAGGTTTCAGCATTTACCCTAAAAACCTGGAAGAACAAAATAAACTCTAAGAAAGAAAGGAAATAAGATCATAGTAGAAATCAATAAAATATAAAACAGAAAATCCACAGAGAAAGATCAACAAAACCAAAAGCTAATTCTTTAAGAAAATTCATAAAATTGATAAACCTCTAGCCAGATTAGGGGGGAAAAAAAGTGAGAAGACACAAATGACCAATATCACAAACAAGAGGTAATATCACTCCAGAGAATATCTGAACTTCATGACAATAAATTCAACAACTAGCTGAAAAGGACAAATTCCTTGAAAGAAGTAATCAAAGCTCACTTGGGAAGAAACTGTTAGCCTTATACGTATTAAAGAAACTGAACTTTAAAAGTTCACACAAAGAAAACTCCAGAAACAGATGGTTTCACTGGTGAATTTTACCAAATATTTAAGGAGAAAAACAATACCAACTCTACACAATTTTTTCCAAAATACTGACGAGGGAGGAATACTTCCCAACTCATTCCACGAGGCCAGTATGATTCTGATCCTAAAACCAGAAAAAGATATTGGAAGGAAAGAAAACTACAGACAAATACGTATTTATGAACTGAAATGCAATCACTCTAAACAAAAATGTAGCAAATAGAATCCAATAATACATTAAAAGGATAATACATGACCAAATGGGGTTATTCCAGGTAGGCAGGATTGACTTACATTCAAAATAAATGTAACTTACCATATTAATAAGCTTTAAAAAATAAATAAAATAAAAAACTGAGACCAGGAGTGGTGGCTCACACCTTTAATCCCAGCACTTTGGGAGGCCGAGGCAGGTGGATCACACGGACAGGAGTTCGAGACCAGCCTGGCCAACATAGTGAAAGACTGTCTCTACTAAAAATACAAAAATTAGCTAGGCATGGTGGCGTGTGCCTGTAGTCCCAGCTACTTGGGAGACTGAAGCAGGAGAATCGCTTGAACCTGGGAGGCAGAGGTCGTGGTGAGCCGAGATCATGCCACTGCACCACTCCAGCCTGGGCAACAGAGTGAGACTCCGTCTCAAAACAACAACAACAACAACAACAAAAACTGTATGATCATCTCTACAGATACAGAAAAAGCATTTGACAAAAGCCAACATCCATTCCAAAAATTCACAGAAAACCAGAACTACAAAAGAATGTCTTCAATCTGATAAAGGGCATTACAAAAAAAACTACAACTAACATCACACAGAAGTGAAATACTATTTTTCTCAGGATGGCCATTCTCAACTGTTCTATTCAATATTGTACTGGAGTTTCTAGTCAGTGTAATCATCAGACAAAAGAAAGGCAGTGGGGAGTCAAAAAAACGGAGTGAATAAACATCCAGACTGAGAGAGGAAGAAGTAAAACTGCCTTTATTCACAGACCACATGATCCTCTATGCAGAAAATCTGATGGAATCTACAAAAAAAAACTACTAGAATAAGTGAGTTTAGTAATATTGAAGGATATAAAATCAATATACACAAAAAAATCTACTGTAATTCTATATACTAGTTACAAACAACAGGACACTGAAGTGAAAAAACAGATTCCAGACAATCTCTGTAAAGATCCCATTTCAATCTCCACTGGTTTGAAACATAACAGTGTGCTAGTTCCTTTTATTTTGTACTGAAACAACCTGCCACACATCCAACTTGGGGCTGTCTGACTCAGTTGCTATGTGACCCTGAGGTCTTACAACGATGAAGAGTTTTGATTGGCAAAGTCTTCATTCATCTACGGAACAGCAAGACAGGCTTCTCAATTCTATCAACAGAATGTTAATAACGTGGCCCATCCTACTGGTATCTTAAAACACCAGAATTTTCCTTTTCATTAAGCACATATATTTTCAACCATATCAATCCTCAGTTACACATATTATTTCCTTTCTAAGAATCTGTGACAGATTTAACTTATAACCAATCATGTCTTTCAGTCTTTCATTTACATAGTTGGCACTCTAAGAGAGTTTAGACTTATAAGAGTGCTATCCAGCTCCTACTCAAAAAAGCACAGATAATCAGCATTTTAGAAGGAAATACCTCCTGAGCCTGGAAAAAAAAAAAAAAAGTCTAACAATGGCTTATTAAAGTTTCATGTGCTTCAGCTTCAGAATCACCTATAGGTCTTGTTTCAACACACTGCTGAGCCAAACCACCAGAATTTCTGATTCAGTAGGCCTGGGATGGAACCAGACAACTGGCATTTCTAAGTTCCCAGGTGATGTTTGATGATGCTGTGCATTTGGGACTACACTCTGAGAACCACCAGTTTAAGGCAGTGCTACTCAGACTGCAATTCTCTAGAAGCACAAAATTCAGTGTAAGCATTTAGGAGTTTAAAGCAATCAGACAGAGTAATTTTATCTGCTGAAACTAATAATTTTAAAAGTGTGAACTTGTATTTTCTATATCTTTAATTTTTCTGTATTTTTATTGTACCTGACAAAAGTATCGGTATGCAATAAATTAAAAATTTTTTTTAAATTGGTCCTCTGGCCTGGTGCAGTGGCCCATGCCCGTAATCCCGGCACTTTGGGAGGCCAAGGCAGGAGGATAACTTGAACTCCAGAGTTCAAAACCAACCTGGGCCACACAGCAAGACCCTCATCTCTACAAAAAAAGTCAAAAAATTAGCCAGGCATGGTGAAGCATGGCTGTAATCCCAGCTACTCAGGAGGCTGAGGCAGGAAGATGGCTTGAGCTCAGGGGATGAAGCCCACAGTAAGCCATGATCATGCCATTGCACTCAAACCTGGGCTGACCCAGAGCAAGACCCTGTTTCAAAAAAATAAAAATAAAAACAACAACACAAAAACTGGTCTTTCACCACAGACAATTTGAAAAACGTGGCCTAAAGAACATGCTATCCATCCAATTCACTAATATTCTAAATACTGGCTTGTAGAAACATTACATAAGTTTCATTAACTTTGCCTCCCAAAGAAACACATCAGCTTTAGCTAAAAATCAATAAAATAAGCAGTCGCATTATTGATGTTTGTTTTTTCTGTAAAACTATATTTAAAGACATTTATCACCTAAACAGATAAGTGCCCATTTACTATAAATTCCTTTTAGAATTTTATATTATAAAGATTTTTTTCTCCTGAAAAACAGCTGTTATTAAATTTTAAATTAATAAGAACTGAATCATTCATAGTTGCTCTGTCTTAACTGCCTGTGAGGGGTATGAAGAAGAGGTGTGAGTGGATGGCTTTAACGGACTGAGTAACTGATATCCTAAACAGAAATATAAAAGTGAAAACAATCTTGTGCAGAAAACTGTTATCCTAAACATCATAATTCTAGAATATTTGAATTATAAATCAACTTTTGGAAAACTTAATTATAAGTTGTATAATGCTAACTTGTACCACTTGATAATGCAACAAATGTTTACTCTTTTGTTCCCATATCTAATTGTTGGGTTTTCGAAAACCTTGTTTTAAATCAACAATTTCCTAATGCTAAGTAAGACCACGGTCTTCAACATCAACTTAGAAAGGTGACACTAACATCAATGTAGCTTAAATATTCACTCGAGACTGGAAATGACAGTAGTAAAAAAAATTCAAACAGTAGGTGAATAAATTACTGGTATTTGACTTTTAAAAACATTAGTTGATATTCAGTTAATTTACTTACTGATTTACAAAGTCATTTCTAAAATTATTTTGCATTCCTTGAATACTAAGGGTAGACAGATAACCCATACAGATAATTCCAAGATACCTATATATGAAAACAACCAAGAATTAGATCCAAAGTTGTGAAAAAGACAGAATGATTTCACAGGTCTAGGATGGAACCTGAGGTTCAGCATTTTAACAAGCTCCCAGGTAATGCGTAGCTACAGACCAAACTCAAGTAGCAAAGTTATAAACTAGATAAATGTCTCAAAGTATCTTTATGGTAGAACCACTCTGAAAAATGGTTTGATCCTTTTTAAAGTTAAACCTTTTAAATGTAACTACTATATGATGAAGGCATTTCACCTTCAGGTATGTATTTACCCCAAACAAAGGAAAACAGATCGAAGCCAAAAATCACTCTAAAGATAAACAAATTGTGATACAGCCACAAACTGAAATACTATTCAGCAACAAAATGGAGTGAACTATTTATACAAGCTGCAATATGTATTAATCTAAAACAAAAGTATGCTGAGTGAAAGAAGCTAGAGCAAAGAAAAAGAGTATATACTGTGATTCCATTTATATAAAATTCTAGAGAATGCAAACCACTAATCTACAGTAACAGAAAGCAGATGAGCGTTTGCCTGAAGACCAGGAGGTGGAGGGATTGGGGGATGAGATCTGTTGATTATCTTGACTATGAAAACAGGTGTAACACAAACATCAACACAACAAATTGCACACTTGAAATACGTGCAGTCTGTATGTCAACTATACCTCAATAAATGTTTGCGTTTATTTATTTGAGACATTGACTCACTCTGTCGCCCTGGCTGGAGGACAGCGGTGCGATCACAACTCACTGCAGCCTTGACCTCCAAGGCTCAAGTGATCCTTGCACCTCAGCCTCCCGAGTAGCTGGGACTACAGCACACAGCACCCTGCCTGGCTAATTTTTCTATTTTTAGTGAAGACAGGGTTTAGCCATGTTGCCCAGGCTGGTCTCAAACTCCTGGACTCGAGCAATCCACCCACCTCGGCCTCCCAAACTGCTGGGATTACAGGTGTGAGCCACTGTGCCCAGCCTAATAAATTATTTTTAACAATATCTTCCAAACACAAAATTCTGGCTAAAATAATGTCACTATATATAAAATATTAAGCTCTAATTCTTGGAAAATTCCATGTAATACACAACAGTATGCCTATACTAAGAGTAAGAGACTCCTCTTTTGGGGAATTGGGTAGTAGGTGACTCAGAGTCCTTTAGGATCTTTCTTAGTTCCAAGTAACCACTGAAAACATGTACTATATAGCAGGGGTCTCCAACTCCTGGACCATGGACCACACAGCAGGAGTTGAGCAGAGGGCAAGCAAGCATTACCCTGAGCTTCATCTCCTGTTAGATCAGTGGCAGCATTAGATTGTCATAGGAGTGTGAACCCTATTGTGAACTGCACATGCAAGGGATCTAGGTTGTGCATTCCTTATGAAAATCTAATGCCTGATTATCTGAGATGGAACAGTTTCATACCAAAACCATCATCTCCCACCCTCATCCATGGAAAAATTATCTTCCACAAAACTGGTCCCTGGTGTCAAAAAGGTTGGGGACTACTGCTATAGAGTGAATAAGAAAGCCAGTGATGATCCAGGCTTCAGTGGTAAGATAGATTCTTACCAAAAAAAAAAAAAAAAAAAAAAAAAAAATCTTAATCTATATAGTAAAACTGGAATTTTGCTAGCTACAGCTATAAATTTTGCATTAAATAATACAAAAAACTTGGCTGGGCGCAGTGGCTCACGCCTGTAATCCCAGCACTTTGGGAGGCCAAGGCGGGTGGGTCACGAGGTCAGGAGATTGAGACCATCCTGGCTAACATGGTGAAACCCTGTCTCTACTAAAAATACAAAAAATTAGTCAGGTGTGGTGGCAGGCACCTATGGTCCCAGCTACTCGGGAGGCTGAGGCAGGAGAATAGCGTGAACCTGGGAGACGGAGCTTGCAGTGAGCCAAGATAGCGCCACTGCTTTCCAGCTTGGGCGAGAGACTCTGTCTCAAAATAATAATAATAATAATAATAATAATAATAATAATAATAATAATACAAAAACACAGTAGATACCTTTTGAGGCATCTGTCCCATGTATCAACTGTCTACTCTACCATTCTCTCCCATTCTTTCCCACAAGAGTGTGCTGCCATCAGCCAAGCTGGTAAATCATCTCACCCTACTTGCAGCCACAGTTAACTATATTGAGCTAGATGTTTGACCTGAACTAGGCCAATCATATTCCATCTCCTGGAAATTTAAAAATGAGACTGAATCACTATTCTCAGCCAAAGCTGGCTGCTTAAATAAAAAATAAAATTAGAAGCTTTGAGGTAGCCACTTTTGGCCAAGAATATGTGAAAGCTCTGTGAAGTCCTTTTGCAGGAAAGCAAATAATAAAACTAAAGAGTTTTTAAAAAAATTTTATTATTATTATATTTTAAGTTTTAGGGTACATGTGCACAATGTGAAGGTTTGTTACGTATGTATGTACGTGCCATGTTGGTGTGCTGCACCCATTAACTCATCATTTAGGATTAGGTATATCTCCTAATGCTATTCCTCCCGCCTCCCCCCACCCCACAACAGTCCCCGGTGTGTTATGGTCCCCTTCCTGTGTCCATGTGTTCTCATTGTTCAATTCCCACCTATGAGTGACAACACGCGGTGTTTGGTTTTTTGTCCTTGCGATAGTTTGCTGAGTATGATGGTTTCCAGCTTCATCCATGTCCCTACAAAGGACATGAACTCATCATTTTTTATGGCTGTATAGTATTCCATGGTGTATATGTGCCACATTTTCTTAATCCAGTCTATCGTTGTTGGACGTTTGGGTTGGTTCCAAGTCTTTGCTATTGTGAAAAGTGCCGCAATAAACATACATCTCCATGTGTCTTTATAGCAGCATGATTTATAATCCTTTGGGTATATACCCAGTAATGGGATGGCTGGGTCAAATGGTATTTCTAGTTCTAGATCCCTGAGGAATCGCCACACTGACTTCCACAATGGTTGAACTAGTTTACACTCCCACCAACAGTGTAAAAGTGTTCCTATTTCTCCACATCCTCTCCAGCACCTGTTGTTTCCTGACTTTTTAATGATCGTCATTCTAACTGGTGTCAGATGGTATCTCACTGTAGTTTTGATTTGCATTTCTCTGATGGCCAGTGATGATGAGCATTTTTTCATGTGTTTTTTGGCTGCATAAATGTCTTCTTTTGAGAAGTGTCTGTTCATATCCTTTGCCCACTTTTTGATGGGGTTGTTTTTTTCTTGTAAATTTGTTTGAGTTCATTGTAGATTCTGGATATTAGCCCAAAACTAAAGACATTTTTGAAAAGAGTAACACCTCATTACCAAATGGTGTTCATTCTAGGAAAGCTAGTATGGTTCAGTATTATACTATTCATCACTAATTATAAATACACCTAAGGGGAAAATCATATGGTAATCTCCACAGATGCCAAAAAAAATTTGAGAATATTCAACACTCATTCATGGTAGATACACTACAGAATTTTTACATGTTATGTACTTTTATGTATTACATAATATATGTATTATATGCTATTATAAATATGTATATTGTTTTCTACATCTGTAAATCAATACAAAATTATGTACATCGCATTTAACAAAGAAACACTAGAGACACAAGTTCAGAAACAAAACAAAAATGCCCATTATCTCCACTACTATTTAACACAGAATTGGAAGTATTTGCAAACACAACAGGGAAATGTAATTAGAAGCATACTATTTGGAAAAGGAGAGGTGAACTATCTCTATTAGGTGGTGATATGGTATCTAACTCAATTACATAAGAGAATCAGAGAAAACTAGGACAAACAATTTAATAAAGTTGCAGGATATAAAAATTAACATAGAAATCAACAGCTTTAACAAGTTATAAGGTATAATGAGAGAGAAGATTCCATTTACAATACCAAATAGATGAGATTCCTAGGCATAAGCTCAACAAAAAATGCACAAAACCAACCCTCCAACAGGATACACAAGTAGACTTTGACAAATGAAGAGACAAACCACATTCCAAAACAGGAAGTCAACATCATAAAGATGTCAATTCTCTATAAGCTAATTTATAAATGTATGGTGAATCCCAGTAAAACTGCCAACATTATTTTTGGGAGTTAGACAAAACAATGATAAAGTTCATATGAAAAAATAAGAAACAATTGCCAGTAAACTCTGAAAAAGTAGAATAATGAGTAAGGGGAAGTGACTAGCTCTACCAGATATAAAAATAAATGATAAAAGATAAGATAATAAACAATTAATAATCTTATCTTTGAAAAGATAAAACAATTAATGATTTAAACAGTTTCTTGCACACAAAAAAAATTCTGAAGGAAAATTTAAAGGGAACAAAATTAAAAGTTAAAATATACACCAAATGAGCTAAAAAAAAAAATTCAAATAGGATGGAGGTAGCATCTCATACCAGGGAGAAAAGATTATTTTTTTAAATGATGTTTAGACAACTGGATATCCACTTGAATGAATATACTGATCTACAACGCAGTGTATACTAGAACAAACTACAAAAGTTCTAAGGAAAAAATGAGGTAATTAACTTGAAGGGGGAAATCTACTTAACTTTAATTCAAAAACCAAAAGCATTTTTTATTAAGGACTTAAAAAAAAAAAAACTCTGACTGATATGTCAATTTCCCTCAATATGGAACTGAATAGATTACAGTCAACATATACACCAGACCACTAACTAGTTACAGTAATAACAAATAAGAATTGATGCTCAGCACACAAGAATTTCTTTAATGACCATATCTATATTTAAAATTCTCTTGTTTTGGAAAATGACTATCCCTTCCTCTCAAGCTCCCTTTAGACCAGTGACCCAATACAAGCTGCCATTCTCTTACAACGCCCATGTCTCAGGCTACAGTGAATAAAGCTAATCCAATAACTGAAGTGATGGCTCAAAAGGAGCTAAAGAAATTCTTTCCTGAAATTTTTCAATCTGAAATAGATTTTAAAAAACAAACCTCTCTTTCTCTTTCTCTCTCTTACACACATAGACCTATTCACATACAAATATATTACATAGAAAAAAAGTATGGAAGAATGTACATTCACCCAAAGGTCAACCACAGAGATATCTCAGAGATGTGGAAATTTAAGGGATTTGTGTTTTCTTCTTCACACTTTTTCTGCATATTCTGAATTTTTTTACAAATGAACACACATGATATTGTTATAATGGAAGAGTAGGTATTTCCAAAAACAGAATATAATGTAAACAATCTGGGGTTTCATTTTTCTAGTTTACAGAGAAATTAACTACCTCAAGATATGCTTAGGTGGCTGAGTACCTTTCCAACGACCATCTGTACTGTTTTATTACTCTACAGAATCAGCACCTTCCTGTGCTGTGTTAATGTCCTAACAGTAAATAAAGGGCAACTTTTATTTATGCCACTGTTTCTAAACACAATACCACTGCAATACAGGCAAATGGTATCTAGATTTTTTTTAATTTTTGTGTGTAGAAACTTGCTATGTTGCCTGGGCTAGTCTCAAACTCCTGGCCTCAAGTTATCTTCCTGTCTCAGTCTACCAAAAGGCTGGGATTACAAGCATAAGCCAGAGTGCCTAGTCACAATATCTAGATTTACTTTAGTGCTTAAATGTAATAATATTATTTATATTCAATACATTTCTATTCATCAGTAATATGTTTCCACAAACAACAAAGTATCAATAAGTAAAATTCTGCATTTCACATCAGTATAAATTCAGTCTAAAACTTTAAAATACCTCCTCAGATTTCTCAGAAAATTTAAACCTTTGTGATTCACATGCAATGAAGATTAACTATTTTTTTTTAAAAAAGCAATCTGCATTATCAACTAAAATGTGATTCTTAACCTCCTTAATGAGTCATCAGGGTCATTTACTCTAGGTCTGATGATTCTCTGGAAGGGAAGTGGTAAACATCCATATGAAACTGCGGTAACAAAACAAAACAAACCCAGAAAGTTCACAGACTCCATTAAGTCTATCTAGGCACCAAAGACCTCAGTTAAGAAACCCTGACATAAGATGAAGATTTAAATGAAACTCCTTAATCCACAAAGTATCCGAATTGTTTTTATTCTGCCATAAATTTGCTGAAAATGCAGTCAGAAATCACAGTTCAGTAAACTCATAACTAGTTTTGTCTCTAGTTTTCTGCCACCACCACCACCCATGCACTGCCTCCACAGTCCATCCAATAATGATCTATTACAAATACAAACTTGAGGATATACCCTGCAAAACCCAAGTTCCCCATCAAGACTAAACTCTATATTTACTACACAAAGGGGGAAAAGATATACATATATATCTTTTAATAATAAAACTATAATAATCATACAAAATAAACTATATAACATACATATATAGTTTAATATCATTTATCACTTATCATTGCATAAGTAGTAAGTAATATATAACCCATGTCGCTGAATTAAGTAAAGCAGCGTTTTTCAAACTGTGAGTTGAACCACTAGTGAATCATGAAATCAATCTAGTAGCTCATGACCAAAATTATTTTTAACAAAATAGAACTGAAAAGGGAAAAATGCATATATATATATATATATATATATACACACACACACACAGCTAATCTTCATTACTTGCAAATTCCCTATTTGCAAATTCGCCTACTTGCTAAATTTTATTTGTGACAGTTTCTCAGTCACTTGCAGACACGTGCAGAACAGTGAAATATTTGAGTTGCCCACCTGACATATACTCCCAGCTGAGGTCAAACAAGGTGACACTCTGACATCTTGTTTCAACTCTCATACTATAAACAAGCATCCTTTTCATGTTCTACTTGTACCATGTTTTTCACATTTTTATGCCTTTTGTGGGTAATTTCACTGTCTAAAGGTGCCCCCGAGTATGGTGCTGAAGTGCAGTCCGGTGTTCCTCAGCACAAGAAGACTGTCATGTGCCTCATGGAGAAAATACATGTGTAACATAAGCTTCCTTCAGACATGAGTTACAATGCTGCCGGCTGTGAGTTCAATGTCAATGAATCAACAATGTATTTTAAATACACAATTTAAAAACAGAAACATACATAAAACAAAGTTACAAACTGATCAGCAGATGAAACTGTTGTGACCAGGGTCTAGCGAGAACTTAACCCTATTATGTCCCTTGGAGCAATGGCTTAGGTATTAAATAATTCGTGCTCATGGCAACATAACAGAACATAACTATCTCGAATAATGAAAATCAACTGTATTGGTATATGTGTAATATAGATATGTCTGTCAAAGTGCACTTTATTTCAGTTACACACACACACACACACACACAAAATGAGTGATAGTCAAAAAAACATTTGAAAGCCAATAAATTAGACCACAAGGAAAGAAGCCCTGAAAGGTGTGGTAAAATGGTAAGGCAGAAAGGCATGGATCATGGGCACACACGCCAATCCCTTTTTTCTACCTAGACAAATCAATTCTACTGAATCCAGAATCACCCCTAACTTGTGATTTGGTTGGTAGATCTAGGATAAAGCTTTTAAGTGTACTTTATAAAAGCATCCTAGATATTCTGGTGTGTGGCCAAGATAAGAACTACAATACTACCTCTCAAACTGCTGGTTTTCAAAGTTGGGTCCTTGGACAAGCAGCACCAGGATCACCTGGGAACTTCTTAAAAATGCAAATTCCCAGGCCCTATTCTAGACTTAATCAGACACTAAGAGGAATAAGACCCACTGATCTCTGTTTTAACAGGCCCTCTAGGTGATTCTGAAGCATGCTAAAGCTTGAGAATCACTGACCTATATCTTTGGAAATTTTTGTGGGAGGTATTTTGAAAGCCTTGATGAATTTTGCAAGGTGGCTAGGCTATTTCAAATAAACTCCTACTGACCAAGCACCTATAATGTATAAACAATCTTCTTCCAAGTACTTGGCTTTTACAGAAAGTGACCCATCACTTTAAGCCAAAATTAAGTAAAATCTATGCATTACTTGATTAATAATCAAGCAGCACTGTTTCTTTAGTCCATCCTCCGTAACAGTTTCTGTTCTTCCAAATTCGTTCAATAGGCACTGTTTATAATACAATTTTGCCCGTCCTAAAAGGTGACTCTACACTAGATCCCAAAACTGTTTCAACTCTCTTAATAACTCTACTGGGTGTCATACACTTCCCTATATGAGCGTAACAACAGGCATCTAAAAAAAAACTCATGGCATTCTGGCATACAGGAATCATTTCAAGACTAATCTGTAAAAACTAATTCAATAGTACATTATAGTCAATTAGCTATTACATGAATTGATATTTAAACTCTGGTTCAAATCATGTCCTTCATGATATAAATTTCCACAGTATCATTTTCATTTTCCACATTAACACCTTAAAATGTGTTCATCTGTGTAAAACTCCTTTCTCTCCTACTAAGCAATAAGCTGCTTGTGAATGGGTACATCTTACTCCTTTCTGCGTCTAAAGCACATAGAAGGTGCTGTACATTCAGTCACAAATATTTACTGAGCAAATACCAATATGCCATCTATACCAAATGATGGAGTATACAAAGGTAACAAAGAAAAGGTCCCTGTGCTTATGAGGCTAAGTTACTGAATGAATAAACATCACAAACAACTACAGTGACAGTAGGAGACAGTGCAGTCCATATGAAATATCTGGCTTGCCAACATGATACCTGAATAGGATGGCTTTCTTCAAAAGAGTATATTATTGTTGCTCTTCTGACTCAAGTTACTACTTGAGGTCATAAATAAATATTACAGTAAAAACACTGACAAGTCACATTTTTAATAATTAATCTGACTTTTTTGGTATAAAAATAGGAATACAAGCACTATGCACAATGCAATAAATAAAGTCCTATGCACAATGCAAGGCTTTGCTGACAACCAAACTGCCACTTAGGAATGACGGGTTAAGGTTTGCTATCCAAACTACAAACAATCAACAGAAAGCTACATTCTGCTAATTCTCAATTCCTCAGAGATGTTAAAGGGAAGGAATTGAAAATCAAAATTGCCTGACCTTGTAACTCTAGATTAAAAAGCTAACTTTAGGATCACATATTACTCACTTACAAAATGAGTATAAGAGAATTACTTGGTTACTTTACCGAGTAAAAAAGCCTTTGTCTAGAAATTTTCTAGAATAACCCCCCCCCCCCCCACACACACACACACACACACACAGCTAACAGCAGCTGCCTCTGTAGCGTGTCTGTGAACTTGAGGAAGGAAAGACACTTTTTATGTATATGCTTTTGTGCTGTTAAATTTTTATATTTAAATCATGTGGATCTATTATTTTTCAATTTTAAAAAGCTAGTAGTAAATGTGCTAAATGTGAAAATAAGACAATTCTGTCTATAGTACCATCTCCTGTATAGTAATGGGAATAAAATCTGCAGCCTGTATGCTTTTGAGACAAGGACGACACAGGAATGAGATTGCCATTTGGGCCATGGAAATTCTCCTGAAGATTTCTGAACCTCAGGTCGTAGGTTCCCAAAACATCCATAGAAAGAACTAAGGGGTCCATGAACTTGGATGAGAAAACATAAACTTCTAACAAATTTAACATTTCCTTCAATTCCTAATGTAGACAACAGACCACAGTAGTACTAGCAATACCAACAGAAATCCTAGATCTTTTCACGTCAAATTATGTCAAAATACCGTTTATATTTATCATTATTTTGAATTTACAATAACTAGATCCAACTGTAGATTCTGTACTTAATGTGCTAATAAAGTACACATATTAAAAATTGTTTATTTTGATAACTTTATTTCAATACAATTGATTTATCTGACCTTATTTTATGCATTTATGGCATCATTCTGAGGAGTTCCAACAGACTGCCAAAAGAGTCCATGTCACCAAAAAAAGGTTAAGAAGCCCTGGATCATAATTCTCAAATCAGATGCCAATACCCTTCACTTGGAAATTGAAGGAGGAAGCATTTTGGGGTTATTCCAACTAGAAAGTTCCAGAAATTAATGGGCAGAAGATAGATGTAATAAACTTGTTTTGCCAGTGACCGTCTCATACAACCAACTACAAATTGAATGCTAATAGTGCCCCAGTTGAGAAACATCTCAAGAATCAAATAAATGGCATGACTACCCTCATCAATACCATACTTTTGAAAGTTTCCAAACAAAAGTGTTCATCCAAGAATTCAATGGTATACTGGAATGTCTCTATTCACTTCTCTAGTGTACAACACCCACTGCATAGATTTTCATCACTAAAACTTATCTTTCCCATAACTAACTAATCATCTAACCTAAAAAAAATCATTCTGAGGAACAAAAACAATATTTATTAATTATTCAGGGCCCAATTATTACTCTACGGATTAAGTGAAGATTTAGTTCTCTTAGCAAAAAATTTTCAAGGTCTTTAGTTTTTAAAATCAATTTGCTTGTCAACTGCTGTGCCAGAAAACAGAAGGAAGGAGGAAAACACACATATTAACTTGTAATGTTTGAAAGCGCTCTCTCTTTTTGTTTGTTTGTTTCTAAGAGACAGGGCCTCAGTCTCACTCTGTCATCCAGGCTGGCGTGCAGTGGCGCTATCACAGTTCACTGCAGCCTTGAATTCCCGGGCTCAAGGAATCCTCCAGTTTCAGCCTCCTAAGTAGCTGAGACTACAGGTACATGCCACTCCACCCAGCTGATGTTTTTATTTTTTGTAGACACGAAGCCATACTATGTTGCCCAAGCTGGTCTCAAAACTCCTGGCCTCAAGCTGTAAAAATGTTTAATTGGCATGAGAAAAAATGTGAAACTCTATCACAGAATAATGTATGGGAATACTCTACATTTTACTCTTCCATCAACCTTCATATTTGTTATCCTGTATAAGTGAAAATTGTTACCAAAAAAATGAGTGTTGCCTATAAGACACAGACTTAAGTTTTTACAAAAAAATGTAATCTTGGCCGGGCATGGTGGCTCACACCTGTAATCCCAGCACTTTGGGAGGCAGAAGCAGGCAGATCACGAGGTCAAGAGATCAAGACCATTCTGGCCAAGATGGTGAAACCCCATCTCTACTAAAAATACACAGATTAGCTGGGCGTGGTGGCGTGTGCCTATAGTCCCAAGCTACTTGGGAAGCTGAGGCAGGAGAATCACTTGAACCAGGGAGGCAGAGGTTGCAGTGAGCCAAGATCGCGCCATTGCACTCCAGCCTGGGTGACAGAGCAAGACCCTGTCTCCAAAAAAAAAAAAAACAAAAAAAAAAGTAATCTTTAAAACTAACTTTTCAGATACTTATTAAACAGATGAGGAAATGGGGCTCAATGAGGTTAAGTAATTTACCTCACCCATAAGGCAAGTGGCAGAGGCCAGGATTGGAACCTAAATCACAATTTCAAAGTTCCAACAACTTCACCAAATTAGCAGCAAAACTGAATGCTGCTTGTTGACTCCCCAACCAAGACATGAGACACGTCCTTAGCCCATTTAAAAAAAAAAAAGCAAGCAAGCAGGGAAGCAAAGATAGGAGTTAAGAGAGGTAGCAGATAGGCTGACTCTCCAGTCTGCATTCCTCTGACTTTATAGCAACAGCTGCTTACAGTAAAACAAAAAACCTAAAAGAAGACAGATACAATGAAACTGCTGAGGAGAAACTGGAAGTGACTGGCATCTTCCTCCACAGTGTTAACCCTGTAAGAAGCGGTTCTGCATGATAGAATATGTAAATTTAAAGCTCTGTCCCATTTAAATAGTATAGACAAGGCAAATAATCGATGATCAACTTTAAGTTAAAATCAAATAATCATGATGGACCTTCTGCCATCTGCATTGGTCTCCTTCAGGGCTTATTCCTATCAGCCTCTCCTCCTCATGCTGTCTCTACACACCCATTACTGTTTTTCTACTTCAACTCTACTTAAAACTAAATGAAGATGCAGAGCTGCATTGTTTACCAATACAACGAAACTCAATCCAAGTGACCAGCAACATGCTAAGTGCCTGTATTACAAACTTTTTATCACTTAAGACAGAAAGTGACAGAAGTACCTGGATTGCTATCCTGCCTGTCTTGGGTACTGAATAAAACACACATGATACCTTCCCTCAAGACATTTAGTCTTGTTGGGGAAATAAGTGTCTACTCTCTCTCGTGCACATGCTCTTTTTCATACATATATAAAATTCACACACACACCATTACACACACACTCAAGTGAGAAAAATGATACTAGAAAATTAAAATAAACTCAAGTGGTAAAGACTAAAAGTACTACTGAACTTCAGAATACTTACAGCAATGAGTAAGCCTAGTAAAGTGAAGAAAATTTCATGAAAGCAAGATGATCATAACCAAAACATACACAGAATGGATTGCTCTACTAGGCTCTAGGAAAAATTAATATTAGATAGAGGACGAATATAATCGATCCTCATAAAAGAACGATAAGCCAAATTGACAGGATCTCAGCAGTATTAAAGAGTTAAACCTTAAGCATTAATTTCTTCCCAATATTTAATGTCACATTTGTTAGTTCTTTTCATCTAATTATAATCCTGGACAATATGCCAGTAGATAGACATGCGGTTTCAGAGGTTCAAGTAATTTTTAGAGTCAAAGGTACTTTAAAGGTCACTCAGTCCAATTCTATTTCACAAATGAGAAAACTAAGGGCCAGGAAGGTTAAATAATTTCTACGCGGTCAAACAAAACTCATCCCTTACAACTTTGAAAATTAATAAGTGTGAAGAGTTTGCTTTTTTTTAAAAGGACACTGGAGACTTCTTTTACAGTCTTTGATTCAAATTTCATTTAAAACATAACACATACAAATTATTCTAAGCTCATTAAAACATCTTACAAATTTATGGTTTGTAAAAACACACTAAGTATACAAATTCACCTTGGGACAAATCATGGATTAAAATGATTTAACACTTTAACTTCCTAACTTTTGATCATGCTATATTACCATCGGTAGCAGATCTCTCAGGGCAGCTCTCCAGCTGAGAGGGTAACACTTCTCAACATAGGTATACTAACTTCCCCTTCTCTTTGAATGGCAGACTCAGAGGTAGATACCTGATGCAAGCCAGACCAATAACGCTCTCTATCTCAAGAATCTGGAATTTTGAACTTTAAATGGGAAAATAAATGATAGAACAGTAAAGCTATAAAGGACCTTAGATATCTTCTAGTTCTCAACCCATTCATTTTACAGATGAAGCAGTACAACGGTGAAGCAAGAGCCCCAGAGTCAATCAGCCTGAGTGCAAATTCTGGCTCTAGCATGTTCTTTTTTAGACGGATGATCTTAGGCGAGTTACTTAATTTCTAAAGTTTCAGTTTCTTCCTCTGAAAAAGAAGTAGTAACACCTATATGTCCTACTCTTAAAATCAACTCTAAACCATCTATTAAGTTTAACAAAGTGCCTGGCACATGCTCAAACACTCAACAACACACACTCAAATGTTAGCTGAGATAGTAGTGATGAACAACCTGAGGCTCAGAAAAGCTAAGCAACTTCCAAATTATATGGCCATTTAACCCACTTAGGCATAAATGGGTTAATCCATGACAACCAGAACTAGAAACAAAAACTCCAGAATCATACTTCAGTGGTCTTTCATCTATACCACCCTACAAACTCCTAGGCCTAACATTCAAAACTGCCTATAATTTAGTCTAATTCTACCTTTTTTCCAACCTAATCTCCACCCCTATTTTTACTCCTTCATTCACCAAATATTTACTGAGTGCTTCTATGTTTTAAACGGTTTTTAGTGCTGAAGATGTAACAGGGATAAAATGAAGGGGAAGACAGAAGCAAAAGATGTCTGCATGTCCGAACGAAAACAGGGGAATGATATGGTCAGCAACATCAGAGTGCTATCCTCCTAAAGTTTCTATTAGCAGGAAGAATAGGAAATGATTGACAGAAAGCATCTAACATGGAAGAACCTTCCTTTGGTCTACTCAGCATCCTCAGAACTTCCTTTAGATATTCTTATGCTCAAATATTTGCTTCAACATACACCATACAACCAAACCTGAAAGCCCAAATTGTTACGCCTCTCTCCAAGAAGCCTTCTTTATGACATGCAATGAATCACCTCATGCCTCTCAACTACACTAACATTTAACTTTCTCTAATGCTCTTTTGATGTCTGTCAGGTTGTCTTAACCCTGTAGTTTTTGCTAACTTTCCAGATACATGTTTTTGGACTTAATGGTTCATTTAAGTTCTATGAAATTGAAGTCTGCATCTTCTTTTATTCCTAACATTTCAGTACACGGCCTTACACATACTTTTCCTATACAGAACACTTTAGTTTCCCAATATCTTATTTAGATAACAACTGGCATTTAGATAATACCTGGCATGTCATTTGCTTTTGTTAGAAGAAGAAATGCTTCATGTTTTTACAGTATCAACTTACAAAACTGCATTTTATACCCTCTCCATTATGAAACATGAAATATATTAGTGCCAATAGTAATTCTGAAAAGGTATCAATCAGGATTATATTCCTACTGTATCAATTCAAAATATCACTTAAAATATTAACATAACGGCAAAAATTAGACAACATATGAGAGGAGATATGGCAATTCAAATTAGTCATGGATCTTCTTTAAAAATAAGGTGAATCACATGATTCATGTAGACTGGTACATTCTGGTATGAAAAAGTATCTCACAGAAATCTACACACACCTATGAGAGTTACTTAAAACAAGATAAAGATTTATCATTACAACCATATCGGCGTGTGAAAAGATTCTATATTTAAAGAGGCCTCTGACTCAAGAGGAAAAGAGGATATAATATTTAGATATACATAGTACCAAAGTAAGCAACCAAAAAGAATTCCTGGAAGAAGACTTTATCAAATGCTGCTAATAAATTTTATATATAGATAGATATTGGGGGAGGGGGAGAAAAGACACAAATATAGCTCTTGGAACAGAAAAAGAAATAGAAGCCCATTCAACACTCAACAAACATTTTGCAAGCATGTATTATGTGCCAGGCACAGTTCCAGGCACTTGGAATATATTAATGAGCAAAATAAGCAAAGATCTTTGCCCTTAGAGACATTATATCCTAGCAGGAGAAAAATCTAAACAATAAAATGGGACAGTTTCCCACAAATTTCTTATATGCTTAAGATAACATAAACAGTGGGATAAATATAATGGTGCCAATACAGGGGAAAGCAAAGTTCACAAACTGCTAAGAAAAAAGAAAGAAAATCTGAAAACCCAAGAGCAAAAGTCAGACCAAATTAAGTAATGAAAAAACTACACTTCTTAATAATTTAACAGTCTAACCAAATTGGCAACTTCTAAGGTTTCCAAAGTTATAAAAAGTAAAATATTATTTACAAAAGCTATAATGAACTTAATCACAGTTCAGAAGATAACTCTGGATTCTGTAAGAACCCTGAATATGCAGCATGGTGACTATGAGTATATGCTTTTGTGACACCAATGTCAAGGGTCTGAATTTCAGCCCTGCACTAGCAGCAAGACCTTTCAGCTTTTCCTCTATAAAACAGAAATGGTAATACCTCACAGGGCTGTTACCAGAATTAAATGATAATCAAAAACTGGAAACAACTAAAAAATCAGAGAGATGCATAAAGATAGCATACCAAATTCACTGGAATACTACTCAGCAATATAAAGGAACAGACTCATACAACAAGGATGAATCTTAAATGCATCGTACGGAACAAAGGAAGCTAGACATAAAAAAGTATGTATGATTCCATTTATATGAAATTGTAGAAAAGGCAACCTAATCTACAGTAAAACAAAACAAATCAACAATTGCTTGGACTAGGAGTGGAAAGGGACTGGTTGCAAAGGAGCACAAGGGAACTTCTCCAATGTTGGAAATGTTCTATATCTTGTTTTCATGTTTGTATGCATTTGTCAAAATTCATCAAACTCCACACTGTATATAGGTACTTTTTTTGTATGTAAAGTATACTTCAAAAAAAGTTTATTTAAAAAAAGGATTAAATGAAATAATATATGTAAAGCCCTTAACACAGTATCTCGGATATATGAAGTATTCAGTAAATGGCAAGTATTAGTAAAAACATCAACTACCACTATACAACACTCATGGGGAGGCGGCAGAACCGCTGGCTGCCTGATCTTTCTGGTCTAAATTCTAAATAAACATAAGTGTACAGTACTTGACCTAGACCAAGTGCCGTGAGGAGCATTACAAAGACCAAGTTAAAGGAGGATGCCAACTGGCAGCTCTTAGCAGAGGACAATGATAATAAGGATAGGGAAGAAAAGAAGTAAAAGATGTTTGGATGTCCAAAAGAAGAGGCTACACAGGATGACATGATTATCAATGATACAATGTTACCAATGCCCAAGAACACCTAAATCACCTCATCCAGGCATTGTCAGAATGTAACTCAGTCAGAATGTAACTCGAACTTGAATAATGACTTTGTTTATATAAACGAAGTCTAATGATAGTCCAATAGCTACACAGAAGAGACAGGCCTTAATTTTAAGGGTGGGTGGGGATAGAGGGGGAATGGGAAAAAGCCATCCATGAAGGCTTCAAAAGATTTTGCCAACCAAGCAGGACAGCACAGTTCAGAGACACCCAGCAACAATTGTGAATCCGTAAGCCAAGGTTGGTTTGTTTGTTACAAGCCTACTGATTTAAAAGAAAAAAATCTTATAAAAATAAGGAGTTAAGGACATCTAGATATTGAAAGTTACTTAAAATGCAATTCAAGTGAAACACAAAACATTTGTGAAATGTATGACATTTTACTGCTGCTTAGAAATATTTATCAAGGCAGAACCATTTTTATAAATACATAATTCTGTTTAATAACAGAAGTCCTGTAAGACCAGAGAAATGAATTTGCTGTCACTCATGAAAACACAAGTCTTCTGACATACATATTTAAAAAAGAAAGAAAAAGAAAAACTAATACTCCAATTGGACACTCTGGGAAGCAAAAGATTTCAGACTATAAATCTTAACTGTTACGGTTTGCTTAATTTTGATTTTAAGAATCTCCACTTTTAGCATGTATTAAAGAGGCAGAAAGGACAGGACAAAGAATCAGAGGTTCTGGGTTTCAACTCTAGTTTTATCAGAATTTGGATTTCTTCTTCCTTAAAATTGGGCAATTGAAGTAGGCTACTGAAAAGTATCCAAGTTTAGCACTCATGCTCTAGTTTGAAAATAATTCTTTCTAAAAGAGCTAATAAAAAAATTGCAAGGCGCGGCAGGGCACGGTGGCTCACGCCTGCAATCCCAGCACTTCGGGAGGCCGAGGCAGGTGGAGCAAGAGTCAAGAGATCGAAATCATTTTGGCCAACACGGTGAAACCTCGTCTCTACTAAAAATACAAAAATTAGCTGGGCATAGTGGCACGTGCCTGTAGTCCCAACTACTTGAGAGGCTGAGGCAGGAGAATCACTTGAACCCGGGAGGCGAAGGTTGCAGTGAGCTGAGATCGCGCCACTGCACTCCAGCCTGGCGACAGAGCTAGACTCGGTAATAAATTAAAAAAAAAAAAAAAAAAAAAAAAAAAGTCTGCAAGGCGCGGCCAGGCGCAGTGGCTCACACCTGTAATCCCAGAAATTTGGGAGGCCGAGGCGGGTGATCACCTGAGGTCAGGAGTCTGAGACCAGCCTGGCCAATATGGTGAAACCCCGACTCTACTAAAAATACAAAAATTAGCTGGGCGAGGTAGTGGGCGCCTATAATCTCAGCTGCTCGGGAGGCTGAGGCAGGAAAATCACCTGAACCTGGTAGGCGGAGGTTGCAGTGAGCCGAGATCGCGCCATTGCAATCAAGCCTGGGCGACAAGAGCTAAACTCCATCTCAAAAAACAAATAAACAAAAAATTGCAACACGAGTTAAGCACTTTTATTTTTAATGAAGCATGAAAAAATTACTCTAAGTTATCTTACTAAATTAAAATACCAAAACATATGTGGCATACTAAGGACCACGTATGTTGGTGATTGCAAAAAGTAATATACCTTCCAGGAGTTAACTGTTCACTCTAGAACAGATTTCCTTTTTTTTGTTGTTGGGGGGGACGGAGTCTCGCTCTGTCCCCCAGGCTGGAGTGCAGTGGCACGATCTCTGCTCACTGCAACCTCTTTCTCCCGGGTTCAAGCAATTCTTCTGCCTCAGCCTCCCGAGTAGCTGGTATTACAGGCGCGCACCACCAGGCCCGGCTAATTTTTGTATTTTTAGTGGAGACGGAGTTTCACCATACTGGCCAGGCTGGTCTCGAACTCCTGACCTCATGATCCGCCCACCTCGGCCTTCCAAAGTGCTGGGATTACAGGCGTGACCCACCGTGCCCGGCCTAGAACAGATTTGACTCAAGTTCTAAAATAATAGGATCAAAGTAATTACACACAATACTGGTACTTTTAAGGCCATCTTTCTTTGGATCAAGACCCACAAAATAGCAAAAATATCCAAAGTTGTGCTTATTAGGGTTCAATGTAATTAACTATTGTATATAATATGATTTTATTTTAATTTTCCTTCCCATGGAAAACTGAGTCGTTAGAAACAAATTAAAAAAAAAAGTTCTCACATACAAAAAAAAAAGTTCTCACAGCTCTAAACCTTAGGGATAAATGCTGGGTTTTGATTATAAACATATTTATATATATGCACACACAAATATATATGTGTATGTGCGTGTATATATATCTATTACATATTTGTGTGTGTACACACACAGTTAAGTTCATCCCGATGCTACGGCCATATGCATTTTCTACTGAAAATGTAAGACTTTCAAGTAACTATACATCAAAGAGAAATGTGATTAAATAAGAGCAAAGTAGTATTAACAGGGTAACATAATGAGGTCAGAACTCAACCAGCCAATCGAAGGCATAAAAGCATTTCCTGCAATATTAATAGTCAAAAGAGAAAACCAATCACTGAAACCTCGAGCTTCCTTTTGACAGTCACTGAAGCAAGAGAACCAATCCACACACACCCGAGGTTGACAATAAGGCGGGACTGTAGGTTCATTGAAGAAATTCTTGAGGGTGCAGTTACTATGAACTTCGCACGCAAGTAACACCACTCGAGTCATAAACACTCTCTGTCAAGCCAGATGAAATCCAACCGTCTGCAAAATTTAACCCATCGGAGGAAAAGCAGCAATTTTCCCAAAAGGTGCTGTATTATCAAAATTACAACTGCCAATTTAGATGCACTAGGTCCTCAACTTCTAAGGACCACCTCGCAATGACAATTCTCGAGGACAACGCAACGCCGGCGGCTCGCTTCCGGGCATCCCCGGCTCCTCTCTAACGTTGCGCACGGAGCACGGCCGTCCAGGCGGAGCAGGCAGAGCCCGTCCGCCCCGCGCCCGGCTCGGGTCGGCAGAACTGGCCGGCGGGCGGCCCTCGGACGCTACGACCCGCTCGGTAGTCGTGGCCCCCGCCCTCCCCCGCCGCAGTGCTGCACCGCCTCATCCCGCTGCACCTTCGCGGGCGGGGGAGCCAGGATGATTACATTGCTGGGAGGAAGATGTTTGTTTTGAAAGCACCCTTCCACAGTCATTTCAAAGAGAACTCAATACAAAGCCAAAGTTAAAAGTGGAAAAAATAATAATCTTGCCTAGCCAAATAATACCACGCCATTAATTAGCCCCGCGCCTGAGAGAGGGAGGTGGAAAGGTAAACAGAGACCGTACGCCAAGAGCGGCCAGCGCATCCCCTGCGCCATTCCCGGCCGCCGCTTACGGCAAGGCCCCCTTACGGCAGCGTAAGCAGCGCTGCGAGCTAATCACAACACTGGGACGCAACAACATGGCGGCCGCGGGCGGGCGCTACGCCGGCCGAGAGGGTTTACGCTACTCCGCCGGCGTAGAGTCCCGTGCGTTAGAGCGGCAGCGGCGCCCTCCAGCGAGCGTAAAGCGCTCTGTGAATGGCGAGGCCCGACTGACAAAGGGGAGGGGGGAGGAGGGAAGGGGGGGTAATAAACACTCGAGTCCCTACCGATTCCTCCTCCTTCTCCATCCCGGTGGGCATCTGGGGCACGGCCCGGTTGATGGAGACGCAGTCGTTGAGATCAGGCATGTCCTTGCCGCGGTAGATAGGCAGCGGCTTGGCGGCGTCCAGCGCCCGCGCTCGGAAGGAGAGTTTACTCATTGTCTCCCCGCCTTACAGGAACAGCCCGGGCGGCGGCGGCGGGGCGGGCGGGGAGGGGGGGAGGACTCCCGCCGCCTCCTCCACCTCCTTCCTCAGTGCAGCGCGGCCGGCCCGCTCCTCCTCCTCCTCACTGCCCCCGGCCACAGCATGGGCGCCCACCCCGCCCGAAAACAGCCCCCCGCGCCCGCGGCCGCCTCCACACACTAGATCCGCCGCTCGCCCGCCCGATCCGCTCCCTGCGCCATGGCCAACATGGCGGACATTACCACAGCGGCGGCGAGCGATCCCGGCAGCCCGCGCGAGAGCGCGCCCCCGTCGCGGGAACGCGCCTCGCCCTCTCCCTCCCTCCCTCCTTCCTCTCCCTTCCCCTCCCTCGCCTGCCCACCCACTCTCTCCGCGGCGCTGCCGGCCCGCGGGAGCGTGCTCGGTCTCGGTCCGCTCCGGGGAGAGGGGGCGGGGGCGGCGCCCCTCCGCTCGCTGGCCGGTGCTTTCGCTGTGTGGCAGGTGCCAGGTGCGCAAGTTCGCCCGCGCCCGGGAGCGTGCGCCTCTCCCGCCGCCGCCCGGTCACCCCTCTCGCTGGGTGTCCCGGAGGAAGGCGCCGGGCAAAGACGGCTGCGCCGAGCAGCGCGTGTGTGCAGAAGTCCGGGAGCGGGAAGGGAAAATGTCGACCCGGACCCCACCAGCCATCACCCAAGCCTGTACTTGGACAGCGCTATCCCCAAGGCGCCCTGTGCGCAAGCTAATTCGCATCCTCCGAGGCGCACATCCCCGAGAGGTGCAAGAGGTCTCTCCCATCAGTCCCATCAGTCCGTTCGGAGGACTGGACCGCGCTGCTGGTGCCAGCCCTCTTCTACGCCCTCCCCTCCGTACCTGTCCGAAAGAGCTCTCCAAGGTGCAGCAGCGCGTTCATCCTCGCTTTGCAGTGAGGGTTCATGGTTTGAGGCTGCCAGATGCAACAAGTGAACTTAGGTTCCCTGTCACCCAAACTTCGGTACAGCTGTTTAGTGGATGGTAGGTATTTTTCTGAGTTCAAAAATAGTAGCTTTCCTAAAAGTTCAGCTTCTAAAAATTTAGCCAAGGCAGCACACATTTGCGAAGTAGCAGATGTGTGTCAAATGTGGGGTGCTGTGGAAGACTCGAAGAAATCTGAGAAAAGGTTCCTGCCTCAGAGAGCTTTCACCTTAATGGGATGCCAGGATGGCTGGAAAGATGAGTAACAGAGACGTAAATAGTTGAAGAAAATGACAGCTGGAAAGATAAGTGACAACCGAAAAAAAAGTGTAAATATTTTAAGAAAACAATACAAGAGATGACACAGGCAGTAAGTAGCACATGATTAATTACCAAACGAGATCTAGGCAATAATTGTGAGAGTTCAGAGAAAGGAAAGGAGGCATGACTGCAGCCTAAACTGGTTAGAGAAAGTTCTCAAGAGGAGGGAAAATCAAGGTGACTCAAATAAGTACTAGCTATTGTTGACATCAACCTGGTTTAGCCAAGAGGCTCTTGGTTAGTCTTTAAGCATTACACATTTCTCACAAAACCGTACAAAGAGAGTTTTTAACACATTTTACCATTTTCTAATAATCGATCATACTCTAACTCAGAGAAAGTCAGATGATTTCCTAAAGACCAACAGTGAAAAAATTGATTCCTACTGTCATTTCTATGTGACAATAAAACTATATCTCTTCCTCTATTACGTCCTTCTTCCCCTCCTCCACTTCCTCCCCTCCCCCTTTTTCCTCCTGTTCCTCTTCCCCTTTTCTCTCTGCAGTCTCCTCCTTTGAAGGCAGAATGGTGGATATAGTCTTCATGGTAGTGTCCAAATAGTCTAACCAGTCTGTCGCAGCAAAACTCCGAGTATTGTTTAGTGGGGCTTGAGTGTTTTTCATCCACTTTGTTGTTGGAAGCAATGGAGTTGCTGTGACTCATTTCTTGTAAGCAGTACCTTCCTCAAGCTTATGGGCATGTCCTGCTCTCTAAGTGCTACCCCTGGAACAGTTCCAATCCTCTGGAAGCAAGAACAAGAAGTTCTTGGGAGGGGGTCAGCACTGGGTTCAAGCCTGAAAGGGAAGAAAAAAGCAATAGTTGAAGAAATGAGTCATCCAGAGCTTTCATCTGGATGCCCAGCCCTCCTCAGGTTCAGAAAGGATAGCTTTCTTCTAGTCCCTATGTTTAGTTTTACTGTTTCTCTCAGAAAAGGAAATATCAAGTATGTGTAATATACCATCCATTGTAGTAACATGTTATATATATTATCTCAACTAGTTGAATTCCACTTAATTCTTATTATAATTTTATGAAAAAATATAATTTTACCAATAAGAAAACTGAGCATCAGATAATTTGCCAAATTTCAATTCCAACAACTTGCAGAACTGGGCTCAAATTCAGGTCTGACCTGACTCCAAAACTCTGGTTTTCTCAGTGGTGCTACCCTGCTATCCAAGCTCTTCAGCTTATTGACCAGTCAGCATTCTAAAGCTGCTAATTCAAAATTAGTTACTAAGACCTTCCAACCAACGGCCAAGGGAGCGCATAAGCCAGAGCCTAAAGTTGCAGTAGACCAAGGAGGGCAGGAACAACATCTGTCTGTCAATCACTGTATCCCCAGTTCCATGCCTCACATATGGCAGGCATCTAAAGTATATTTGTTGACTGATATTCCATGAAGAAATTCACTGATACTGACCCCATGCCACTCTAGTTTATAGTTCACATACCTCACTGGCCTGTCACCTGACCTAGCTATTGCTGCCAATATTTGTTCTTACTGTGGCCTACCCTGTTGTCCAGCTTTGTACCTTTGTGCATAGAGATTTTAGAACCAATTAATGTTATTCAAAAACACCTTTTTGAAACCTGGAATTTATAGGAAGGGATTTTTGCTGTTGTGGTTGTTTCTTTGTTGTTCTTTTACTTTGACCATGTAAAAGATTTCTTCCCCAAATCTCCATTTTCTTCTCACCCTGTAGGCAATGATTATAGAGCTGGGAATAAAACCATTTAAGGCAAATAACACAATATACTTTTCAACGGAGACACAGCCTGTGTTTTCTTGGCTTCCAATTCAGTGCCCAAACCGGAATGCCACTGTTCACTTTTGGAAAGTAACTTTTATTTGTATATAAATATTACTTTTCATAAAGTTTATTTCTGATTGATTTGTTGAATACTCATATAATTGTTAGTGCTAAAAGCAAAAAATATCTTCTTATAAAATAAAAAATTCTCTCATGAAATATTTTTATCAAGACCTGCCTCAAATGGGTGTGCAGCCTAATAGCCTATTTTAATTTCCACATACAATGCGCTAAGTATAGTCATTCTAAAATCAGTCCACTTCAGATATGCTCTAGACCAATTCCAAATGACATGCATTTAGCCCAGCAAGCATAATATATAAGCACCCAAGAATTAAAACCAGTTTAAAGCCATATCAAAATAAAATCACTGTCTAAATGTAGTCTAAATTAGAATAAATGTCAAATAACTGTTAGAATTAGGATTACATTCCAGTGTCCATCTCCCAGTACTATAATCAAGGCAGGCAGCTTCCAAATAATGGACAAATTACTTTTTGAAAGGAATCTTAAAACTAGTAAACACAGTTGCTATTCAACTATTTCAGAGTTTTGCAAATGTCACGTTCTTTCTAATTGGCTCCTGGTTTCAGCAAAACCATTTGAAAGTTAATTGGGTTAGTATGTGAACTGCATCTCCACCCCTCCCCCTTATGTTCCCAGGAATGAGCCTAGTACTAATAAAGCTTCGTTGTTTTCCATATGTAATCTGAATGTGGGGTCTGCATTCATTACAATCAACTGGAATCAGTTCTGTGGTTCCAGTGCCCTTTTCTGAGGCAGCTCTGCATCTTTGAGACATAGGGACAGAGACTACACTGAGAGGTGACCTGCCAAACATCTACTTCTACCTCTGCATTTGCCACCGTGGGAATAGCAGATGGTAAATAAAAATTTGTGACTGTGGCTCAGTTTCTTAGCAGCATCGCTCCTCTCAGACCTGGTTGGAATCACAGGGTGCCACCTTGTGTATAAGCTGACGATTTACTTCCCAGCTCCACAAAGGATCCAAATAGACTCCAAAATAATCAGCCTGAAAGCTCTGCATTTTGGTAACTAAAAAAAAAAGAAACAGATTTGAAAACACACAGCTCCAGAGGGTCCACAACACCCAATTTTGAATTGCACTGACAGCCTGTCTCATTTGTTGCCCCACCCGGACCGTAAAACACAACCAGTGCTCCACATTTGGAATAGATTGACGCTGCTCACTCAGGCTTTTGGATGGGGATAAGAGAAATAAGTAAAGCTCTTGTGATGAAGCTAACAAATCTGACTTGGACAGTTATGTGTGTCCAAACAGCAAGCAAGCTATGTAGATGTAATTTCAGGATTTTTTTTTTCTTTCTTTTTTTTTTTTTTTTTTTTGAGATGGAGTCTCTGTCACCCAGGCTGGAGTGCAGTGGTGCAATCTTGGCTCACTGCAACCTCTGCTTCCTGGGTTCAAGCAATTCTCCTGCCTCAGCCTCCTGAGTAGCTGAGATTACAGGCACATGCCACCACGCCTGGCTAATTTTTGTATTTTTAGTAGAGACAGGGTTTTGCCATGTTGGTCAGGCTGGTCTTGAACTCCTGACCTCATGATCTGCCTGCCTCAGCCTCCCAAAGTGCTGGGATTACAGGAGTGAGCCACCGTACCTGGCCTGGACTTTGGATTTTTGAGAGGCACTAGGTTCCATTGAGCTGATGAATATGAGCCTACTTGTTTTAATAAAATAAGTAAAATAATTATTTTTAAAAATAAGTACTTATTTTAATAAAATTGGATGATAGTGAGGTTTTAAAAATGACCGAGTTTGGAACAGAAATACAATTGTTGGAGCAAGGCCACGGGAGGTTAAAAAATAGGATCCTTTCCAATCCAGCTACCTTGCCCTTGAGAAATTCCACACTTGGAGGAAACCCACTCTAAATTCAGCACAGCTGTCATTCAGCTGAAGACACTATTACATTCATGGAACTAGCTGGATGATTCATATTATTTTCATAAGGGTGTTGGAGTGGAGATCCTGGGGCTTTGGGGGCTACAGATGCACACCCACTGTTGGTTTAGGGCTCCTGAAATGTATATTCTTCACAGTTTCTGTCTCCATTGGTGCATCCTGTTCTCCTGAGGCACCTCTGAAAGGTAACTTGGAAGGTTGTTTCAATCCCTGTGAAGGCAGTTCAGTCTCACTGACTTTGCTGGCCCATCTCAGACAACAAGCAGGCTCAGAGCACCAAGCTCACTGGGGTCCAAGTGTTAGCTAAGAGGAGTCCATTGTTAGGAAACTTGGGTTGCTCGTCTAAACATGGTTCCTCTCACCTATTTTTTTAAATCTCTACCACCAACAAAAGATTAAATGTTTATAACCACAGATTTGTGAATGGCGTATGCAGCTGGAATCCTGAATTGAAGAAAATCGGTGAATTGATTTATTAACAGCCATGCCTTACTGATCTGATCTTTTGTTGTCCCCTAGAACAAAATAACCTGTTTCCTAAGAAAAAGGTTCTGATAGTAGCATACTGAGAGCCCCTTAAATTCCACAGTGACTTGTTAGGAGGTAGAAAGGAAAGCCACTTTGTTTTCTCCAAATTAGAAGACAGATTTACTTGTCTTTCCTCAGCTATTAAAGGTGACTTTGGCAGGGAAAGAAACAGAGACCACTGAAATAAAACACACTAATTACTTAGAAATTTACTGACTCACCCATACCTCTCACCTTGTTTCAGAAAGGATTTCAAGTGGCTTTTAAGAGTTGCTAAAATATGCTAGGATAGCATTTGGGTTCTAAATTTCCTAGTAACACGAAATTAGGAAACTTTGTCAGCTTCACAGCTCACAATATCCATTAGATAAAATGACTGCTCAGGAGAGTTACAGTTGTTCCTGGTACTCATTGCAATGTCCAAGAGTCTTTATAAATAGAGCAACTAGGTGATATAACAGATATTTCAACAGTAATCTTACAATAGATACAAAAGGGGCATCTAAGGGCTGTTTCTTATAGTGACCCTCCATATACACTGACGGCATTATACGCAATCCAGCACAACCAATTCTGCAGAGGTTAGAATGGAGCTGGATGTCTGAAGCCATGAGCCCCACCCCATACAGATCTGGGAGTATGAATGGACCCTACGGCCCCCAGGCAATCCTGCCTGAAGATTCTTTTTCTCTCAACTGTCTCCTGATAAACTGTCCTGCTGAGAGCTCAAAATTGTGCACTATTACAATTGCCTGAAGTGCAGCTCTTCTAAATGCCCAATTAAGGGCAGGCCCACACGCCTTAAATGACCATGTTGTGGAGGATATTTTCTGGAAAGAAAGAAGCTTAACAAGAACCAGTGCCTGAATAGAAAGCTCTCCTCCCGCTCTTGCAATGAGCTAAGGGTGTATCCACTGGCAAAGCCAAGAGGTAGTCTGACCTTTGCATAAATAAGGTGTGCATTCCTATCTCAGGTTAGATGGCATCAGGGGGTGGGGAGGTAGGGAAAGGTTGTTCTTGCACACTGCATCCATGTGAAGGTTGTCCTGTAGTTGGTGTAGCTGTTGTTTGCAAGCTTTGTTTTCTAGCTGTGGACTCTGCTTCCAATGCTTACATTGTGCCTTTACTTACTTAGAAAGAGAGCCGCCCCATCTGTAACTGCTACTTCTCTAGGGCAGCTTTTGTAGCCCAGCAGACTGTGCAAGGCTTGTTTTGAAGGAAACTGAGTTTCAGAGTGTCCTCTGTTAAAGGAGGACATTAGGTCCTCTTACTCAGCCATACAAGGGACACTTATGTACCAAGTCCCCATTTTTCACGCTTACTAGTCCAGTAGTTCTTCTAGCACTGTGCATTCCCCTCTAGGGCTGGTACATAGGCCCATACCAACCGATGATGCAGACTTGCCATTTTAGAAATATCTTGGGGGATCTGCATGGGCAAAGGGACTCCAGAAGTGGATGTCAGTTTGAGAACCAATTTTCACCATTGATGCCTTCTACTAGGTTTGAAGGTGGTTATAGCTTGGTCTGGAGCTTGGTGCCTGAAGGCCCTACTTTTATGGTCTTTTCTCCTACAACTTCCCTACTTCATGGGAATGAAATGGCTTAAATAGCATGTGCCAGGCCATGTATGAAGTGACGCCAGTCATTTAAAATGTGCCTGAGTGACTAACAAAGAAAACAACATTTGAAACCTATTTTAGGTATAGAGATAAGTCTGGAATATTTTACCAAAATATTCCCCTTAGTGAGAGAAATGAGATTGCAAGGAAAGGATGATGGTAAAGAGAAATACTTTTTACTTTATAAACCTCTCTGTTATTATTCTAGATAGATGGTTTTAAAAACTCATTTTAAAGAATTCCAATCTAGTAGGCCAGGCGTGGTGGCTCACGCCTGTAGTCCCAGCACTTTGGGAGGCCGAGGTGGGCGGATCACGAGGTCAGGAGATTGAGACCATCCTGGCTAACACAATGAAACCCCGTCTCTACTAAAAATACAAAAAGATTAGCCAGGTGTGGTGGCGGGCACCTGTAGTCCCAGCTACTCGGGAGGCTGAGGCAGGAGAATGGCATGAACCCAGGAGGCAGAGCTTGCAGTGAGCCGAGATAGCGCCACTGTACTCCAGTCTGGGCGACAGAGCAAGACTCTGTCTCAAAAAAATAAAAAAATAAAAGAATTACAATCTGGTAATAGAACCTGCTTGGGCTTTGGAGAGAGACAAAGCTGGTCTCCCTGTATTCTATGACCCTTGTTAAATTGCTGCACCTCTGTGAACCTCTGTGACTTTGTGAAATGGGTATAATGTGCCTATCTCACCAGCTTCTTATGAGAAGTAGATGAAGTAACATGATACAAATTGGCTAACACAGTGCCAGGCACACAGGCCCAATCAATATTAAAGCTACTGTTTCTATTCCTTTCCCTCTGTCTTTTTATTTACATGGCTTGAGGTGATTAAAATTAGATAAAATTAGAACTGTAGCACATAGAAAAAATGAAATCTTGAGTTTCTACTCCAGTTTATGGTTCGTTTTAAATTCTTCAAAACTAGAGTAAACTGAACATACACCCTCCCACCCCTCCCCACTCCCAGTTGACACTTTATTCCCTAGCCTCGTTTAGGGCTCATCAACTACCCAAGAACAGAGTGGAACTATTATTCAAATCGTCATGGCCATAGGGCCCTGCCAAAAAGATGACATTAGAGCCTTCAAAGTGGGAAGATCATATCTTTGTTGGAGAGACACATTTATGTCTAAATACTTAATCGGACTCTGAAAAGTCAGACTTGTTTCTCATTGTGCAAAAGTTCTCTTCAATAACTATGAGATGAATCACATGACCTTAAGACTGGATTTGAGGGGAGGTAGTCTGCTTTTTCTTCTGCCTTCCCTTTTACCCTCTCTCCTTCGCCATTTCTTCCTTCCCTCTGTCCTCCTCTTAATTTATGAAATTCTAAAGATAATTTTAAAAGTCCAAATTTCTGTCTGAACAGCAACATGGTTAGCTCGTATTCGAAATCAGAAAGAGCTAGGCTACTTACCCATGAAAAAATCCCCCCATAATCCATGGGCTGGCTGTGTCTGAGTTTATGTTCACCTGCAAAATAAGGCTACCGTGTTCACAAGGGATATTAGCAGGAGTCATTATATAACATCTATAACACAGTGGGACAATTTCCAAAAGAATTTACAAATGATGTTTGAAAATGCTTGTCTGATTGTTTTCAACAAATCTGTCTGATTATATTTATCCTAATGTGTCCCCATCTACATATCCACATTGGTTTAAAAGTCAACATCTCTCAGAGTCAAATTTGAGTGAGCCAGAGCCATTTGAGTACATGCTCTTCTTTTTTTCTTTTCTTTCTTTATTTTTTTTGGTAATGAAGGAGATAATGACACTGGTTTGCTTATATGATTTGTAAACTAACTCTGAAAGTCTTTCCAAAAGAAAAGTTCCCAAAATGCGGTATGTTTGCCCAAGTCTCTGCTTTGAAGGAGCATACTGATCTAGATGTGTGTATATTGCTGTGCTTACTAAACCAGGTCCATCACTTACTGACCTTCTCTCATTTTTATTATCCACTGATATAATTTAATTAAGAAGAAAAATATTGGAACATAAGGCTGGTAGCCTTGGTTTTACTAACCTTTCCTGACTCCTGAGAGGTGAGAAAATTCTCCAAACAAGAGATTAGCCAAAATACAATAATAAATATCCGGCTTGGCTTTGTGTTCTCTGGCAGGATATTTTGTTCTTTGTTAGTTTTATGAATTTATGAACAGTTCTGAAGGCATTCTATGTGAATAAGCTTAAATCAAGCTTGATTTTTCATATGTTAATTTAATTTTTTTTTTTTTACTTATTTATTTTTAGAGACAGGGTCTTGCTCTGTCACCCAAGCTGGAGTGCAGTAGGATCATGGCTCACTGTAACCTGGAACTCCTGGGCTCAAGCAATCCTCCCACCTTAGCCTCCTAAATAGCTAGGACTACAGGACTACAGGTGCTCACCACCAAACACAGCTTGCTTATTTATTTATTTATTTAGAGACGGGGGTTGGGGGGGGGGTCTCACCACGTGGCCTAGGCTGGTCTTGAACTTCTGACCTCAAGCAATCCTCCCACCTCAGCCTCCCAAGGCTCTAGGATTATAGGCATGAGCCACTGCACCTGGCTTGTATGTTAACTTTAATATAACCTTTAAGTGTACAGATTTTATCACTTATAGAGTAATCTTACCCAAATTACAAATAGTTTGCCATTACGTGAAATAGAAAAGAGGCAATAACCCCCAAATGCTTAGAATTGAAAATGTAAACTTTGTTTTCATCCCCCAATCAAAGATTTGTTTCCCACCCTAGAAGTTGATGCCTGCTCTCAATAGTACAGCTAACGGCCCAGAGCAAGCACAATTATTGGCTTCTCTTCTGCCCTCTAGCCTGATCTATAGCAATAAATTCCCAGGGTGGCCATGCAATTACACACAATGTGATCACTATCACAGCAGGCCCAGCTAGATATGGATACACAACATGATCACTTACCCAGTAGGCACCGTTCAATATGGTTAGACAACATGATCACTACACAGCAAGCCCTTTTCAGTATGGATGTCTAACATGGCCATGACTAATATACCAGGCACCTTGCATGCAACTGAAATGCAACCACCATCCCTGCAAGAACAGCTTGTTGGGGACACATTATATTATACCTAACTCCACGTGTGCACTCAGGTGTAGATACTCTGCAGAAGGTCGTTTAGCACAGCAGGCTCTGCCATAGAAAAATTTGACCACAGACATAGCAGAAACAGATTTGGCTTTGCAGACAAGCTCTGATAGGACCTCCCAATGGGACTGCTAACATGGCAGGCAATATTCTATCTTTAGCCAAGTGCCAATACGAAAGAGCCTAATGATGAGCAAAAGATCTGTAATTTACAAAACATCACAACAAATGGACCTGAAGAAAAAGACAAAGAGCACACTGCTTATGTTGAGTGTGGATTTTCCTGCATCCACACCACCAGTGCCTGTGGCAGAAAAGAACGCATTTGACATTATCCTGCTACTCTCATTAGAGCAGATCCTTTTGATGGAAGGTGGTACGTCTCTGTGCTGCTTTGATGTGTGTGAAAATACACTAACTTTTTTATGTATAGTAACATTATCAACTGTTATGTACAATACAAAAGAAAAGACTTTTAGGAAAATAAATGAAGTATTTCTTTTTTGCCAGCTTTAAAGAAGCAACTGGATTTGCAAATTTGAAATCAAAATAACAAAATTTGAAATCAAATTAACAAAAAGGGAGTAATTATTATATCAAAAAGCTTTTCATTTATTTTTAAATGATGCTACTCCCATAGACTCCAATTTGGCTGATCTGGAATGTGGCCCAGAAATATACATTTAACAAATATACCAGGTGATTCTTCATCAGAATATTTTACACAGCTTCATCTCATTGGTTCCTTTTTTCTTCTTCATCTTTTTTTTCCGTCTAATTTTCATCTTTCTCTTCTTCTCCTTATGTTTCTTGTCTCCTTTCTGTCTTTGGCTCTATCCTCCTCCATTTTTTTTTTTTTTTTTTCTGTTTTTTTCTAGGTATGGGTAGGAAGATGCTGGGGGAGGGGTGGTGACAGGGATGGGAAGGTTGGTTGGACAGTTGTGAATAAAAGAGGAGAAAGCAAATCCTGCCAATTTCATAAGCCTCAAGCCATGTTCCAAAACAGTACAAGGTCTCTGTGTATTCCCTGTGCCTCTTTAATTGTAGCACATGGATCATGCCACCTAATTTTCTAGTCATGGTTACAGATGGAGGTCATCAGAGTCAAGAGAAGATGGGCAGAGATCTTAAATGGAACTTGCAATTGTCCAAGTTTGTCTCCACCAACTAAAATATGCTGCATTTAAAATTCTTATGGCAAACCTGGGATTGGAGCAGCTATTGTCATAGAATCCCACCAATGGTCTTTGTAAATATTGAAGTTCCAGCTCTCATCTCTTCCCTCTGCCCTTGACCCCAATCTCCATCTATTTATGGGCCTTTTGCTTTTGTTGTTTTCTGTCATGGGCTATTTACTGAACATGGGTGCAGCAATATGGTTCGAAAAACCCTAATTCAGGAGGCAAGGAAACCTGGATCCACATCTGGCCCTGGCATTAGTCAATCTTGTGATCTTAGGTTATGCAAACTCTCCAGTAGCATTGTCCTCAACCGTTAAAGTGAGGGGTTATCTACAATGTTCATTTTAGTTCTAAAATTATACAGAATCAAAAGAAGTCATATTACTCTTCTGTACTGCTTCAAGATAAACAGGGCCAGATGTGAGTGATAAGTTTTCAGCGTCCAGAATAGGTGACTTTTTGTCCTTTAAAAAAAATTGAAACAAGCAGTATCTTAACTAGAGTCAAAATATAAAGGCTGCCAAATTTCCTACTGTTTCTGTTAGACCATAATCAAAAGTAGTCTGCATGGTAAAATATAAACTTAAGAAGAGGTTAATGTTTTAAATTGGCTTCTTAAATACTGGCTTCTTAAATTTCTTTATTATTAAGAATATATTTTTGTCTAGGCTGGGCGCAGTGGCTCATGCCTGTAATCCCAGCACTTTGGCAGGCTGAGGCAGCAGATCACTTGAGGTCAGGAGTTCAAGACCAGCCTGGCTGACATGGTGAAACCCCATCTCTACTAAAAATACAAAAATTAGCCAGGCATGATAGCGCATGCCTGTAATCCCAGCTATTAGGGAGGCTGAGGAAGAATTGCTTGAACCTGGTAGGTGGAGGTTGCAGTGAGCCAAGATCGTACCACTGCACTCCAGACTGGGCAACAGAGTGAGCCTTTGTTTCAAATATATATGTATAAATCTTGACTATCTTTTAAAGAAAGTACCAGAAATTAAACACTTTGAATGGGTTAAATTATCAGTTTATTATTACCACAACCCATATTTTGATGCCCTTTGAATAACGTGAGAAAAAAATATTTTTAATTATTTTCTGAACGCTTATAAAAAAGATGAGACTATGATATAGAATTAAGACATACAGGGCTCTTGGGACAGAAAAATCACAGGGAGCAGTGGGGAAGAGAACTGACACTCAGGGCACAATCTCATCACCAGGCACTATACTAGACTCTTCTAATTCATTTAACAAATAATTATTAAATACTTGCTATGCCTAACCTAAGAGCTGAGCATGGAATGGGGAGTAAGAAAGACATGGATGTTGCCTTCACTTAATCCAGTAACAATCTTTAACAATCCATTATTATTGACCTATGTTCTTTGCACAGGTTACTTGGTATTTTATTGCAACTAATGAAGTTTACAACGTTTCCTCTGGCCCAGTGTGGTGACTCTCATCTGTAATCCCAGCACTTTGGGAGGCCGAGGCTCGTGGATCACTTGAAGTCAGGAATTCGAGATCAGCCTGGCCAACATGGTGAAATCCCATCTCTACTAAAAATTCAAAAATTAGCCAAGTGTGGCGGCACATGCCTGTAGTCACAGCTACTTGGGAGGCTGAGGTGGGAGAAATGCTTGAACCCAGGAGGTGGAGGTTGCAGTGAGCTGAGCACTCCAGCCTGGGCGACAGAGTGAGACTCTGTCTCAAAAAAAAAAAAAGTTTCCTCTTACCCCTTGCAAGATATAAACATACCTTTCCTTTTCCATCCTACAAAGCAGGTATTACTTCCTGTACTCAATTAACTAAATTAATATTAGGCTCTCACTTGTCCCATCTACCCAGACAGAGAACTTAATCAGAAAATTTAACAACAGCCTGAAATTTCCTTGGATTTCATAGAGTTCAATACTAGGTTTTTTTTTTTTTTTTTTTTTTTTTTTTTTTGGTCAAATACACGTAACATAAAATTTACCATCTTAACCATTTTTAAGCGTATAGTTCAGTATCATTACGTATGTTCACGTCGTGCAACCAATCTCCAGATTTTTTTAATCTTGCAAAACCAAAACTCTATACTCATTAAATAATAACTCCCCATTTTCCCCTATTCATTTTCTATGATTTGACTACTTTGATACCCCATACAAGTGGAATTATACAGTGTTTGTCATTTTGTATCTGGCTTATTTTACTTAGCATAATATTTTCCAAGTTCATCCAATTTGTAGAATGTGTCAAGATTTCCTTCCTTTTTAAAGCTGATTAATATTCTACCTTCTGGCCAGGCGCAGTGGCTCACGCCTGTAATCCCAGCACTTTGGTAGGCTGAGGTGGGCGGATCACGAGGTCAGGAGATCGAGACCATCCTGGCTAACATGGTGAAACCCCGTCTCTACTAAAAATACAAAAACAAAATTAGCCGGGCATGGTGGTGGGCACCTGTAGTCCCAGCTACTCAGGAGGCTGAGGCAGGAGAATGGCATGAACCTGGAAGGCGGAGCTTGCAGTGAGCCAAGATCGCGCCACTGCACTCCAGCCTGAGCGACAGAGTGAGACTCTGTCTCAAAAAAAAAAAAAAAAAAAATTCTGCATTCTGTTTATCCATTCATCTATCGGTGAACACTTGGGTTGCTTCTACCTCTTGACTATTGTGAATAATGCTGCTATGAACATGGGTATGCAAATATCTCTCTGAGATCTTGGTTTCAATTCTTTGAGATATACCCCAAAGTGAAATTGCTGGATCATATGATAATACTATTTTTAATTTTTTGAGGAACTGCTAGACTGTTTTCCATAGCAGCTGTACCGCTTTACGTTCACACCAACAGTGCACAGCGTTTCAACCTCTGTACCTCTTCTCCAACATGAAATTTTATGTGGTTATTTTATAGTGGCCACACTAACAGTGTGAGGTGATATCTCATTGTGGTTTTGTTTTGCATTTCCCTGATGATTAGTAATACTGAGCATCTTTTTGTATGCTTGGTGCCCATTTGTATATCTTTGGAGAAATGTCTATTCAAGTCATTTGCCCATTTTTAATTTTTTTTGTGGTTATTAACTTGAATTCTATATTGCTTTGTTTGAATATTTAATGTAACCAGTAAAAAAGCAGGAAATGAATTTAGGGACCACCCATTAAAAATCATAAAGAACAAAACCAAGGTGTAAATGGGAGATAAATTTTCTGGTGTTTTGTGGAGCTGATCCCAATTTCCATGCCCCACTCCATGTACATATTTTCTTTTTCTGTCTGTCAGAGCCAGGAGACAATTGTCAATGAGGACCTTTCTTTTCCAAAGTATCAGATAGGCCTTCTCAGTGAAACTTCCACCTGTGTGCTGAGGAAGGTGAAACTAGGAAGTGGTGGAAAGGAACCCTGGCAAATGCAATCAAAGACTTTCCCCATCATGGCCCTAGTGTTATTGTTCTTAATCAGAGAAGATAAAAGTTATGACTAACCATAACACTGGTTTACCAGCCTTTTTTAAATTTTTTAATTTTTTTAATTTTTTTTTTTAGACAAGGTCTCACTCTGTCGCCCAGGTTGGAGTACAGTGGCATGATCACAATTCATTGCAGCCTCAACCTCCCAAGCTCCAGTGATCCTCCCACTTTTGCCTACCAAGCAGTTGGGACTGCAGGCTTATGCCACCGCGCCTGGCTAAATTTTTTTTTATTTTGTAGAGATGGGGTCTCTCTATGTTGCCAGGGCTGGTCTTGAACTCCTGGGCTCAAGCGATCCTCTCGCCTTGGCCTCTCAAAGTGCTGGTATTACAGGCATGAAGCCATTGTGCCTGGCTGGTTTACCAGATATCTTGACCCAAGTTTGAGACTCTATGCCTGGTTGAATTTATGTCAAAAATTGGGTGACTCCTCCATAAAAATTAAACAGAAAGCACACTGGCTAAGTATTTTGAACTTTTTAGAGTATTTGTCTGCTCTCATCCCTGGAATAAAGAGGAGATATTGGGGAGAGAGGAAAGTGTTACAAACATTTCTTTTCCATAGATCATGTCTCTGGGACTTTCACCTTTCTCACTTCATCCGTCCGAACATTCAGTAATGCCTACCACACTTTCTACTGAGTAAGTAGGCTTTCAACTAAGTGCTATGAGGGTTTAAAGATGAGAAAGTGTCCATTCTCAGTGTATACTGCCTAGCATAGGAGACAAAACACGGACACAGTTAACTATGGTGCAACATAGAAAGTGATAATTATCTTAAGAGAAACCCACACCAAAAAAATGCTATGGGGAGAGAAACTATGGAGAGATTACAGCTGGCTGATGGGCTTGGGAATATGTCAGAGAAAGCTCTAGGGAGGAAATACTACCTGGTGCTTGAAAAAGATGTGAACAGGTGGAAATGGGACAAGAAGTTCATTCTTGGTAGAAAGAAAAACAATCCCATCAAAAAATGGGCTAAGGACATGAATAGACAATTCTCAAAAGAAGCTATACAAATGGCCAACAGACATATGAAAAAAGGCTCGACATCACTAATCATCAGGGAAATGCAAATTAAAACTACAATGCAATGCCACCTTATTCCTGCAAGAATGGCCATAATTAAAAAATAAAAAAATAATAGATGTTGGCATGGATATGGTGAAAAGGAAACACTTCTACACTGCTGGTGGAAATGTAAACTAGTACAACCACTATGGAAAACAGGTCAAGATTCCTTAAAGAACTAAAAATAGAACTACCATTTGATCCAGGAATCCTGCTACTGGGTATCTGCCCAGAGGAAAAGTCATTATACAAAAAAGACACTTGCACCTGCATGTTTATCGCAGCACAATCTGCAATTGCAAAAACACAGAACCACCCAAATGCCCATCAGTCAATGAGTGGATCAAGAAATTGTGATATGTATATGAATACTATTCAGCTATAAAAAGGAATGAATAACGGCAACCTGGATGGAATTGGAGACCATTAGTCTAAATGAAAACTCAGGAATGGAAAACCAAACATCATACGTACTCACTTAGAAGTGGGAGCTAAGCTATGAGGATGCAAAGGCATAAACATGATACAGTGGACTCTGGGGACTCTGGGGGAAGGGTGGGAGTGGGACGAGGGTTTAAGACTACACACTGGGTACAGTGTACACTGCTCAGGTAATGGGTGCACCAGAATCTCAGAAATCACCACTAAAGAATTTATCCATGTAACAAACACCATCTGTTCCCCCAAAACCTATTGAATAAATTTAAAAAAAAAGAAATGTGTGAGCAAACACACAAAGGGAGGAAGGATAGGATGCATTCCAGAATCAGGAACCCAAAGGATGGAGCATAGTGAATCCAAAGATGTAATCAACAAAGCTTCCAGTTCTGGTTTTGCCTACTAATGGCTATATGGTCAAAATACTTAGTTTCTCTCATTCTCAGTTTTTATTGTTGCAGATAACAGAATACCTGCCAATCCCACAGTGTTATTGTGAATATGTGATATAGTAAAGTGTGTGAAAATGCTATATAAACCACAAAAAGCTATATATATTGCTATGATCTGAATGTCCTTCAAAATTCGTGTGTTACATCTTCATTGCCAGTGTGATTGTATTAAAGGGTGGGGCATTTAGGGGATGATTAAGTCAGGAGGGTACAGCCCTCATGGATGGAATTAAGAACCTTATAAAAAGGCCTAAGAGGGTGGATTCATTCCCTTCTGTCTGTTCTGCCATGTGAGGACACAGAATTTGTCCCCTCCAGAGTATGCAGCAACATAGTGGCATCTTAGAAGCAGACAGCAGCCCTCACCAGACATGAAACCTGCCAGCACTTTGATCTTGGACTTCCCAACCTCCAGAAATGTGAGAAATAAATTTCTACTTTTTATAAATTACTAAGTCTCAGGTGTTAGCAGCACAAACCAACGAAACCAATGTGTTATAGCAGCACAAACCAATGAAGACACAAGAGGATAGTGTTTTTATTGGTAGGTTGGAGCCCAATGATGGAAGGCTTGAACATCAAGCTAAGGAGTTTGAATAAGTCACCTGCATCAGACCAAGCAAGGTCCTGCTCTGAGACTTCCCATTGCTTCCTAGGGGAAGTCTGGTTGCTTATTTTACATAGTGTAATATAATCTAGTATACCAGCTGTGTACACATTTGGTAAATTACACACTCATAACTCACATTAAATCAATTTGCTACAGATTCAGTTTTAAGTGCAGCCTTCAAGTTTCCCTGTTTTCTTCTCCTATACTCTGACAGGTATGTCCTCTGGCCTGTATATGGTGGCCACTATTTCAGATTTCTTATTCTTACAACTACTACTCTTAGGCTCACACTAGGCCACTCCTCCCAGCTCCACTGATCCCTAAAGAATAAACTCAGTCCTGATCTAGGACCCAGAAGCCACTAGTCACTTCAGATTGAAATTAATTCCCTCTTCACACAGGGAATCAAACAATTTAATTGATTAAAGATAAGTATATTTATACCAGACAATGTCTCAAAGAATCTTCAGTAGAAGTCTAACTTTCATTAGTTCTAAATTTCTGGTGGTTTTTATTTTATGCTAAACTTTTGGGCTGCCACTAAAAATGGATTATTTGCAAAATTAAAACCATTCAAAATGAAGACAAAATGAACTCCTTGTGATGTGGTAGCCTTTTCATTCCTGTGGCCCACCCACTCACTGCTGTCGGTTGTGGCACCATTTCTCCATGTCTACACGCTTTTGCCTGGACTACTGCTCGTCTCTAGATCCAGTGGTCTCCTAACTAGATACTCTTTCCCAGTCTTGCCTTCCTTCCTCCCATCCAGTTCCCACAATGATACCAGAGTGCTCATTCTGAACATGTAAATCTGTTTCTGCCTTTCCTTTGCTTCTTAGCATGGCGCACAGCCCTCCACAACCTCACCCCCTGCCACTGTTCCATCCCTCACAACCCAAGCCCCAACATCCACATCCTTTATATCATAGCACACACCCACTGCACTCCAAGCAGACCATGCTGTTTCACAATTTCCTTCTTTTTCCATATGCTATTCCCTGGAATTTCTGCTCGGTATCCTCCTATCCCACTGTCAGATCTCGTCTGTATTAACTGCTTCTCCGCTAAGACTCCCTGACAGTGATGCCCTCTCATCCTCCCCCAACCTTGGTCATCATTGATTCAGGCCTACTCTCAGCACTTCATGTAAAATTAACTCTGTGGGAGCATTATTCATATTGTGTTATCATTGTTTGTTTGCTTATCTGTCTCCTCACTAGATCCTGAGTCTTTATTTTGCCAAGCCCTGATATCTAGGACAGTTGAGCCCAATAAATACTTGTTAAATGAAGAAATAGAGTAGCTATAGGCCCTGACTTTACAAAGCACTTCACAAGTCTTAGTTCTCTTTCACCCTTTCTCCTATCCCCTATTCCGTTTATTTCTTAAGAACCCTAATTTCCATTTCAGCTCAACTCCTATGGGGACCCCATCCACAAATGTCTACTTTTAGGGAGTCACCTTACCAATTGAGTGGAAGAGGTCATTTTCTGTTTTCAAGCAACATTCATCTAGAGTAAAAGAAAAATCCTCACATCCGGCAACTATATTTCACTCTCTTGCATGAGTCAAGCTTTCAGTTATACATACATTTTGAAGAGAAATGGTTTTGCCATATTCATTCCTACCCTTGCCTTTTAAAACAGGATTTTATCTGATGTAGGTAATGACAGAAAAGAAAAATAGAGATGATATCCCAACCAATTTAAACCAGAAATTTAGTCAAATATTTGATGCCCTTTCTGTGCCAGGCTAGGTGTGAGGCTAGATCTTTGCACATGTTCTTCTGTTCTCTCTGGCTGGAATCATTTACCCGGTTGAGGTTTCTCAACCTTGGTGCAATTGACATATGGGGCCACGTAATGCTTTGTCATTGGGGGGCTCTCCAGTGTTTCTTACAATGTTAGCAGAATCCCTTGCCTCTACCCACTAGATGCCAGTAGCATCCCCAAGTTGTGACAACCAAAAATATCTCCAGACATTGTCAAATGTCCCCCTAGGGACAAAAATCATAACTGGCTGAGAATCACTGACCTAACTGATTCCTACTCATCTTTCATATTTTAACTAATATGTCGTCACCTGCTGGTAGCCTTCCTTGACCCCTCAGAATAAATCTAATGTCTCATTATATATTTTTTCCCTTTTTTATTTTGAGACAGAATCTCTCTCACCCAGGTTGGAGTACAGTGGTGTGATCTTGACTCACTGCAACTTCTTCCTCCTGGGCTCAAGCCATCCTTCCACCTCAGCATCCCAGGTAGCTGGGATGACAGGTACATGCCACCAGCCCTTGCTATTTTGTTTGTTTGTTTGTTTTTTGTTTTGTAGAAATGGACTCTCACCATGTTACACAGGCTGGTCTTGAACTCTGGAGCTCAAGCAATCCACCTGAACTACTGAGCTCAAGCAATCCACCGACCTTGGCCCCCCAAAGTGCTGGGATCTCATTACATGTTTTTATAACATTGTATAACATTTCCTCATAGCATGTATCAAGGTTTGCAATTACACAGTTATTAGCATGCTTATTGTTTTTCTCCTAAGCTATAAGCTCTATGAAAGTAGAAACTGGCTCTGTTTTGCTCACTATTGTGTGCTCTGTCCTTAGCACAGTATCTGACTTATAATAGGTACGCCATAAACAAGTGGTATATTCTCTTCCCTCAGTGGCAAAACTTTAAAAAATTCAAAGAAAATGTAGGTGTGAGCCATGGGCAATATAGTTTGAAAGGGATGGGTGCTTTTGATAATATTCTTTCTATGTAATTGCGAGAGAGTGGAGAGCAGCTGTGAACCTAATGTGGGAGGAAAGTCTCTGAAGAGACACTATAGGGGAATGAAGAGACAGACAGAGAGATGTTTGCATCTGCAAGAATTGTGCCATGGAGGCTACCACCCAGAAGGAGCTGAGGTTCATGTAATGCCTAGACTACAGGAAGGACTTTGCAATACCATGTTTAGATGGCAGGACTCTACCTGCATGAAAAAATGACAGTAGCAGTAGCTGTGGCCCTTAAGGGAACCCAGGAGAAGCTAGGGGAGCATGTGTGGGATCTACTCCTGGCTTCTGATACATTCTGCATCCATGGCTAAATTTGAAACAAAATCAAAAATTTATCTTTCCTTTAATGAATGAATAACAGATGATTTTCCTTTATGAAGATGTAAACAAGACAGGAACTAAAGTATTTCCACTTATCTATCTGCTGTCAAGACCATCTAAATAAAGGGTCTTAAATTGTTCATGTTTTCTTGCTCTAAATTGTTTTTGTTTTGATTTGTTTGTTTATTTCAGGGCTGGGTCTGGGCAGGAAAAAGATAGGCTTGATATGGGTTTGTTTAGGGAGCATGTCGAGAAACCTCAAGGATTGTGCCATATCTAGGGTCTGGTAACAGTGAGGCCAACACTAGGCCTGGCGGGGTGTGGTGGGAGAGGGAGAGAGGGAGAGACAGGAGGAGAGAGGGAGAGAGAGGGAGAGAGAGAGAGAGAAAGAGAGAGGGAGGGAGAGAGGGGGAGACAGAGAGAGAGAGAGAGAGAGAGAGAGAGAGAGAGAGAGAGAGAGAGAGAGAGAGAGAGAGAGAGAATGAACTATATAGATAAAGTGGGCCGCCTGCAATGAGCTGTGGCCTTCAGAAGAAGGATGCAGTGACCAGGCAGTCAGACAGCACAGAAAATAAATCAACGCCCAACTTCTTCACTCTCCCCGGCCCCCACATCTGCTGTTGCTCCTCATTGGTAGCAATCAAGTCCTGAAGCAGGCAAAATTGCCTGCTGATTCAGTCCACAAAGATGAGTCCCTTGGGGGCCCAAGAAAAGGAGAAGAAGGATGGAAACAGGAGACGGGAGGGTGGCAGAAAATATCCAGCACGTCCATTGTGTACCACTTTCAGAGGGTGGACCACAACCTTATTTCAGACTTGACACCAACAATTTGTAAAATAGCATTGAATTTGGGACATAGTGTTTTTACTGGGAGATGGTATATAAAGTAGATGCAACATAAAGAAATCCTACATGTCTGTCTCAGAGACTTGATAATTTAGTCTTAGCCATTGTATTGGCTCAGACTAAAAACTAGGCTAGCACCAACCTCCAAGCCCCCTGTGACACTCTTGAGCATGGCTGCAGGAAAGAGACTGAAGGAATAAAACTTAACTATACCACCACCTCTCTCCTTTAGGGGTGTGACAGGATCACACAATACCATCATAAATCTTCTCTTTCATTTTGCTATGAAGGAAGTAGAAGAGGCAGAAGTTAAAAAAAAAAGAAAAAAAGCCATGGCCTGAGATATGAGTGAAAGTTTGAGCCTTGTTTTTTTGTTTTTTTTTGTTTTTTTTTTCAGGGAGGGAGGGAGTAAGAGAAGCAGTTGCTGTTAGGATGAGAGGGACCTTGGGGCAATAGATGAGTAAAAAGGAATGTTAGGTTGTTTGACTGTGTGTCATTCAATATTACATTCTTTTCCCTTTGGAATTTTCTAAAACACCTAACAAAGGATTTAAGTTGCATCCCAGTATTTTATTTGAAGAAGAAAGTGGATAGAGACCCCAAGTTATCCTAGCCTTAATTTAGGCTACAGAAGCAAAGAACAGATGGCCATCTGGACAGAGAGCCTTTTCTAGGAGGAAAGTACAAAAAGCATGGGAACTCAGAGATGCCAGCCTCTGTAGGCTAGCATGTAGGGCTAGGTGAACTCTTTTACCCTCATCCCCATTTTCCAGGAAGAGAAAACACTTTCATCAAGTGTAATATGAAGGGTTTATGGGCGAAGAAGTACAGCTCAGCTCAACATACTAATAGACTCAAATATTAAGGAATGGGTTGGCAGCCACACTTACAAATAGACTCCCTTTCAAGATAACAAAGACTACTAGGGATGACTGTACTTGCTGTCTGAGATCAAGCCTTGGCTTCTGCCTGTCCCATCATCTCTTGAGTCCTGATCTGGGCCTGTTGCCCATGTTCCCATCTGTCCTGCTCACTGCTTGGCACTCTTTCCCATTCATAACCTCAGCCTCCACGTGTTTGTGCCTTTGATGAGCCCCTTCTGCAAACTCTAGCCCTAGCATGTGTGTGAATTCCAAGTTGTGATAACTGCTTTTCTCAACAATATATTTCTTCCAGTCTTGTTCGAAATTCTTGACACTATCTTGGCTCTGCATATATACTATTCCTATAGCATAACCAGAAGCTGCCGGGATCTGATGCTAAACCAAGTTAAGAGCACATCAGCCTGGCCAAGGCCGACTATCTCAAATTCCTGCAAACCAATATTGTATCACTGATATTTATTGGATTTTTTCCTATAAGCCCAGCACTTTGCATCAATTATCTCGTGTGAACATACCTATATGTAAGACAGTACTACCTTTCCTGTTTTATAGATGAAAATACCAAGAACGACAAGGGTTGAGTGACTTTCATAAGGTCAGGTAGCCTGCTGGTGGAGCTGGGGTTGGAACCCAGGCATTCAGACTTCTGAGCCTGTGATTCGACCACTATGCTACATGTGCCCAGAATGTGTCTCATCCTCCAGAAAGGAGATGACCCGGGACCTTCACATAAGCCATGCCTTCTGGTCTGGAGCACCTTCCCTCATGCTGTACATGATGGGCTCCTTCTCGCCCTTCAAGTCTGTTTCCATATGTCCTACTCATAGAGGCCTAGACTGTCTCTCCTGTTTGTATACATCCTGTTCTTCTCCTTCGTTGCATTTATCTCAATAAATATTCCTTGGCATGTTTACTATCTAATGTCTTGTCTTGCTCTGCAAGTGATGGGACTGGGTATGTTTTGCTCAGCACCATATTCCAACACTCATCTCAGCAACTGACCCACAGTAGACATCACACCTTTCAAATAGACAAATAAATGAATAGACTCCCTTCTGGTATTCTCATCTTAGAACCTTGCAAAGTTTCATATACTATCTAAATTATTGAGTCTGTGGCAAATGCTTTTTACTGTTTGCTTATTGCTGAGAAGGCAAACTTCTTTTCCTCTGAGGGTAGGTTTTACTTATTTATAGATAAAAGTCTTTTGAGGTCCAATTTGCAATGAGCAAGTTTGTCACAATCAGGTAATCTAACGTCAGTTCAAAATGCCTTGTGATTATAAAGTGGTAAGATCATGCGTGTGTGGCCTGCAGCAGAGGGGTGCTGATGGCTGCCTAATGTCAGCAGTCCTAAGCAGTGTACAGTCTACAGGGCGCGACTCAATTGGTTGCATAAGTTCTAGCACATCTGTTCAAGATAACTTTATTGCTTTCTAATTAGGGTTTCAATGTGCCTGTTTAGCCTAGAGTCCTCAAACCTTTTGGACTTAGGATCTGTTTATAATTTTAACAATTATTGAGGGCTGGGCACAGTGACCCATGCCTGTAATCCCAGCACTTTGGGAAGCTGGGGTGGGTGAATCTTCTGAGGTCAGGAGTTCAAGACCAGCCTGGCCAACATTTGAAATCCCATCTCTACTAAAAATACAAAAATTAGCCGGGCATGGTGGTGGGCGCCTGTAGTCCCAGCTACTCGGGAGGCTGAGGCAGGAGAATCACTTGAACCTGGGAGGTGGAGGTTGCAGTGAGCCAAGACTGCACCACTGCACTCTAGCCTGGGCAACAGAGTGAGACTCTGTCTCCAAAAAAAAAAAAAAAATTATTGACGACCCTCAAAGAGTTTGTAATAAGAATTATATTTATTTATATTTACTATGCTGAAAGTTAAAAATGAGAATCTTAAAACATTTATTGTTTTGGTTGAAGTATACATATTATACATATATACCTATAGCATACATATGTGTATATATTTGCTACATGTATATACACACATATATGTATATATACTCACATATAGCATATACATATAGTATTGGTATATGTGGGTGGAAAAAGAAGTATTTTTTAATAGCCCTTTTAGATAATTGTGGATATTCTGATACTATACCAAAATTTAACAATTGGTAGTTTCTTATAGGCTAGTTCAATATAAAATATGGAACCCTATAAAGAAAATTTTTATACTGTTACATTAAAGTTCATTCCTCTATCTTGCACTTTGAATGGACCTAGGTGTAATTTTGTAATGTCATGTATTTGGTCACTTGGAAAATACCATTGACTGAGTTAGGCACATCTTCTAGTATCATGTGACCAGACAATACTCCTGTAAAACAATGTAAGTCTGAGAGTGGAAAATGGTTTCAGAACCAGGAGAAGAAAAACAATGTGGGAGAGGAGAGACTCAGTTATAGACAAGATAAGCAATTTTTGTTACAATGTATCTGATATGGTTTGGCAATTTTCGTTACAATGTATCTTATATGGTTTGGGTGTCCCCACCCAAATCTCATCTTGAATCCTGGTTCCCATAATCTCCACGTGTTGTGGGAGGGACATGGTGGGAGGTAATTGAATCATGGGGGTGGTTCCCCCATGCTATTCTCATGATAGTAAGTTTTAACAAGATCTGATGGTTTTATAAGGGGCTTCCCCCTTCACTTGGCTGTCATTCTTCTCTCTCCTGCCACCATGTGAACAAGGACTTTTTTGCTTCCCCTTCCACTATGGTTGTAAGTTTCCTGAGGCCTCCCCAGCCATGCTGAACTGTGAGTCAATTAAACCTCTTTTCTTTATAAATTACCCAGTCTCGGGTATGTCTTTATTAGCAGCATGAGAATGATGAAGTAATACGGTATCTGGGTAGAAACACATTATAGTTGTGCTGATTCTAGACTCTGCCTTACTTTGCCTATGATATGCTTCAGTAACAATCTTCATGGTCAGTATGTCTTGCTGGCTTCTACAAGTTCCTGTTTCTCAGAATACACAGAAATATGAGTTTGATTTTTAGGGGAAAAAGGAGGAGGAGGAGGGAGGAATTCAGGGAGGAGATGTCTTACAGACCAGAATTTGCCTTTTGGCAGAAATTTGGCTACTCCTCACCAGTCCGATTTGAGCTCTTACTTCTGGCTAATTACACTACATCTCTCTCTCTCTGGGGTGCTGATGGTAGCATTCCATGGCTATTAATAAATGCCTCATGACATTTGGGAGAGGACAACTTTGTGAGTGAGGAAAGCTTTATTAATTTGGGGGCAAGGTTTTATGTTTAAAATGAAAAGTACCTTTAAAGAATGTTGCAGCCATAGAGTTGTTCTCAGGGTGGAGCACAGTTCTCTGTAAGCATACTGTGTTCACAGTCAAGAGCAGTGAATAGAGGAGTAAGCCCATCTTTTAATGTGTAATGTTGAACAAACCAGGATGTTGCATTTTCATGGCTGGCGCTAGGCTTGGGGAGCCTTGCTGAGGGGGCCATGGAGGTAGAATCTGGATGAAATGGGAGACAGAGGAGAACAAGCTATATTAATCATCACATCCATGCAGCTTGACTGTTGTCAGGGAAAACAACATTTTCTGGGTTTCTTTAGCATCTTCTCTGACTCTAAATTGTGCAGGCAGAGTTCTGCTGGGCAGAACTTACTGCACCCTGAGAATTTTAGGTATCCACCAAAAACTCACAGTAGCACCAGGCCAGTGAGCCTGAAACACTGACGAATGTCACTGACTGGCAGGCCTCACTCTGAGACTGCAGAGGCAGGGCATTTAGGGGGACATGGTGATGGAATTTCAGAAATGGGTCAGCAGCTACCTCATGTTCCTGCCCTATGATGGATGATATGGACACTGCTGGAAGCCCTGACTGGTGAGTTGGAATCAAGAGAATGTGCCTAATCTGCTGTGTCAATGGCCAAGAGGGAAAAGATTATGAAACAGGAGAAAGGGAAAGAGAACCAGAATGTTTTTCTTCTCATGAGGAGAGGCTCATTGAAGAAAGCTCAACCTAAGCCAAGGCTGCTCATTATAGCAAAAAGAATGGTGCCTTGCATTTTACAAAGCACTTTACCATTATGGAGCATTTTCACATTTTACATGACCATAGTTGTACCTCACTACAACCAAATGAGGAAGGCAACGGGAAAAGTGAGCCTCACAGCTTGAAGAAATGCTGGGATTTTTTTTTTCTTTTTGAGACAGAGTCTTGCTCTGTCACCAGGCTGGAGTGCAATGGCACGATCTTGGCTCACTGCAACCTCCACCTCCTGGGTTCAAGCGATTCTCCTGCCTCAGCCTCCTGAGTAGCTGGGACTACAGGTGCCTGCCACCACGCCCAGCTAATTTTTGTATTTTTAGGAGAGACGGGGTTTCACCATGTTGGCCAGGATGGTCTCCATCTCTTGACCTCGTGATCTGCCTGCCTCAGCCTCCCAAAGTGCTGGGATTATAGGTGTCAGCCACCCCGCCCAGCCAGGAAATATTTTTAAAATAAGGAAATATACAAGTTGTAAAAGCTGCCCATATATTGAAGCCACAAGGCTGTTCCTTGGTGTAAAGCTAAAGATAGGAATGAATGCCAATATGAACGCTTTTTAGAAAATTTTCTTTCTGATGTCATGAAAAACAAGAAGGATCTCACCTTTCTTTCAAATGTAGAACATTCGCAATGTGAACAGAAGGTATTCTGTTTTGGATATTTCTGATGAGATCTTTACATTTTTCTTTTCTTTTTCTTCAAAACAAGAATAAAGGCTTCTGGTGACTTTCACTTTGACTTTGTTCTTATTACTCCAAGGTCATTAATAGTTGACAGTACACACCATTCTAGTAATAAGTATTTGTTTGGTACTTGGGTAAAATTGCTAGCATGTATGGCTGTCTCAGCCTTGAGCTGCCACTGGCTTCCTCTATACCTAGAGTCAGAAGAACTGGGTTGTAATCTGCAACAACTAGCAAAAGACTCAACTTCTTTGAGCCCAGGTTTCCTATCTGTAAAACGTGATAGTACCTACTTCGTAAGTTATAAGAGCCAGAACAAAGGAGATATCACACAGACAAAAGTATACAGAACAAGTGCACGGCATGTTAGTATAGAGTAGACTCACTCAATATTGTGCTGGAGTTGATTAGTATGAATGCACAAGGGCTGATTATTATATTTTCAGGAATTCTGCTAGCCAATTGCTAAACCATTGGCAGCTTGAAACCGACTGTGGTGGGAAAATTTACACCACAAAAATCAACAGTCATAAATCAGGGTTCGTCCCCAGCTAGTGGCTAAAGATTTACAAGCGCATCACCACTGCTCATGATAATGTATGTTTCGCTCTTGGTTTTCAATTTCCTATTTGGTATTGTTCTAAAAATGTGATGAACTAAATATTTTGGGGATATAAATGTCTTTAAAAATATAAGGAGTGTTCTTTCACTGGGGCAGAGCCTCTGTTGGGTTAAAGCATCAGTGAAAAAAATTATGGGATTGGATTCCAGGTATCAGCAAGTTTGGTGGTTATGGGAGACATTTTTGGCTGCCTACCCAACAACCATTCCTCATCCCCCCTCCCCCCCCGCCACCTTTACCCCTTTTCCCTCATGAAAGAACTAGACTCCTTGATTTCAAGGAAGGTGGGGCCAAACCCTAATTTACAGCCCCAGGAATGGATAGTGATTGCTCTAGTCAGTCACAGGAATGTGAGTCTCCTCCACCAGTGACTGGACTGGTGATGGACATATGACTGAATTCTGGCTTTCATTCTCAGATAAAAGAAACAGACTCCTATTAGAAGAAAGCTCTTGAGCCCTTTTCTGTCCATCCACTTTGATTTGAGGATATGATGCCATGTGACCATTAGGCAACAGGCAGGGAGGAAAAAAACCAACTCCCTGAGGATGTCTGAGCAGAATAGTAGACAGTGTCTATTTCTGTGACATCACTGAGCCACTGATTGAACCCTGGACCTGCCTCTCTTTAATAATAATGGTTTAAACTACAATTATATCTCTGTGATTTGTATTCAAAAGCATTCCTAGCTAATACAGGGAGGGCAATATATTGCAAATGTAGCTGTCTTTTCAAAGTTTCCCAGATTATAATTTGTAGTTGATGAAAAAAAAAACCCATCTTTTTGGTTTTTTTGTTTGTTTGTTTTTCAAATAAGCCTACTTATAAAGCCCATCCTAGCTCTAATCTCAAATAGCACAGAGATCTGAGATTGGGGGCCATATTATGGGGAAGAGAAGACAGGCAAAGAATGGGGACTTCCCTCTGGATCTGTGTGGATTTGTTCAGCTATTATAATAGAGTTAATCAGGGATGGACATTACTGAAGTTCTTAAAGAGACTTATGCATTGACATCTTGAGATCCCACTTTTAGGGTATTTCCCTAGGTATAATATAATTAGGATCTTTTTAGGATTACTCTTAGGATCTTTTGTCCTGAGTTATTTTGAACACTTACCAAAAAGGTTATCTGGGAAATTCACTCAGAGCTGGCAGAACAATGAAGGAAGTTTTGGTGGAGATGGTGGTGGGGCACTCCAAAAGCTATACCTGTTACCCTTTCAAAGAGAGAAATGAAATTAGAAAAGAATATGCCATCATACCTGTGAGAAAATAGGAACCTGAAGAGGATGAGGATTTTCTAGCAGAGGAAATAGTAAACTAGCATGTGGAGTACTGGCCAGATATCAGAATCTGCCTCTGATCCCCTAAAAGACAGGATTCTTGAAGCCAAGCCAGTGCCATGCTAGCAGCAACAGAGTATGAGGAGGACATTTTGAAGAAGCAGCAGGCTATGTAGGTCTTGTTTCTGGAGGCAGAGGCAGAGAAATCTGTGCATGTCTGGATGGTTTCTGAGTGTCCTCACCCCAGGGGTTTTTTGCAGACTTGCTATAGGAGCAGCAGGCGCAGGAAACAGGAAATGGGATTCAGGAGGGTGTGAAAATAGCCCTATGTTCTTCATCTTCCCACTGCCCCAGTTCCTGGCTCATCTCTTCTCTGTGCAGCCTGTGACTGTGTCTGTTGGTAACTTCTTCCCATACTCCAAAGGCTATAAGCTTCAGAGAGCTCAGCTGCCAGGCTAGTGCCCAAGAGGGACAATAACGATAGTGAGAAGCTACATTCAGGGCCGTTAGCACTGGGAAATGGCAGAGAATGCTAGGAAGTCTATGAATGGCCTCCAAGGCTGTTTAGAGCTTATGAAGTCTTCCATTCTCCTTTTGCTGAAAACTCCCATGGAAGTGAAAGGAACCTCTGTCTGGTTTATTTCAAAGGGAGGTTTGTAAAAAGAAAAAAAAAACGTACTTAACTTTATCCAAGTAGCTTCTTACTGGCTAATTTTTAGAGCTAAATATCTTGACTGCTTTAAAACATTTCTTTTTCATATTACACAAAAGAACTGAGGATGGGGTCTGACAATTAGATGCATGTTCCATTTATACATTCTGTTTCTTGCTAGGGAGGTAGCCACTGTGTAAGCCCTTTTAGAAACTATTTTTAGGGAAAAACCACTCACTGATAAGAGTTCATCAGAATAAAATCAACTTAGGAGGACAGTTACTGCAAAGTATTCTTGTTATTTGGGATCAATGAACTCCAAATCCCTTGAAGCTGTTGCAGACCCACAAAATAAGTCTGTTCACCTGTTCACTTGCTAGCGAGAAAAGTAAGCAAGAATGTGCCCGGGGCACTTTTGAGTCATGGCCTGTATTTGGGGGGTATGAGTGGAATTCCAGAAGTTATGTGTAAATGAATAAGCATAACAACCACTTCACTTCCCTCACATGCAGGAAGCAGGCACAAAAAAAGGAGTGTGTGTCTGTGTGTGTGTTTAAGCTATAATCCTGCTACAATTACATCATTCAAAACAACACTATAAATAGTTTCAGTGACAGAGACACATTCAAGTTATCTCAAAAAATGTGTGCTGAGAGCAGTGCTTATCCTACTCCTGCTGCTGGTGATTTAAAACATTTAGGAACCCAGGAAAAGCCACATATCCTAGCCACAGGAAGAACAGGAACTGGAGTAGAGTCAGGTAAAAGGGAGAAGAGGAATTTGTCCAACTCCGCACATGTAGGCTGCCATCCATGTGACAACCAGCTACGCTTGGTGGGCCTGAGCTTCCACCTCATTATTTTTGCTTTCTCATAGTTTTTGCTTCCTCATCTTACTCAGAGTTTCTGTTTCCCTTTAGCTTCTCTGGCCACGTGTTGATCCACTGTGTGTCACAATTTCTCTCAATATACCCTTTCAGCCCCAGAGCTTGCTTCTCCCTGCCTCATTCACCAAGTATCTTAATCCATTTGCATTGCTATAAAGGAATACCTGAGACTGGGTCATTTATAAAAAGCGGAGGTTTATTTGGCTCATGGTTCTGCAGACTGCACAAGAAGCACAGTACCAGCATCTGCTTCTGGTGAGGGCTTCAGACTGTTTCATGGCAGAAGGCAAAGGGGAGCCAGTGTGTCATGTGTCAAGAGAGAGGGAACAAGAGAGAGGGAGGAAGGCACCAGGCTCCTTTTAACAATCAGTGCTGGCAGGAATCAACAGAGCAAGAATGTATTCATTACCAAGCCATTCATGAGGGTTCAGCCCCCATGACCCAAACACTTCCCATCAGGCTCCACCTCTAACATTGGGGATCAAATTTCACCATGGGACTAGGCAGAACCAAACAAACAATCTCCAACCATAGCACCAAGTATCTTCTCATCCTTTTTCTGGGAGAGAATTTGATGGTCCTGTTTATCTTTTTCTATACTGCTGGCCATCCTGAGGATTGATTGACCTTGGGTACAGCCAGTTGTAAACTAGGAATAAAGTCATGTGGTTCAAAGCATGACAGTCTCTATTTTTTTTTTTTTTTTTTAACAACCAGTCTCTTTCTGTAGCTCAGGCTGGAGTGCAGTGGCAAGCTCATAGCTCACTGTAAGCTCCAACTCCTGGGCTCAAGTGATACGCCCTCTTAAACCTCTCCAGTAGCTGGGATAACAGGTGTACACCACTACACATGGCTAATGTTTAAAAAAAATTTTCAGTAGAGACAGGGTCTCACTATGTTGCCCAGGCTGGTCTTGAACTCCTGGCCTCAAGAGATCCTCTTGCCTTGGCCTCTGAATGTGCCGGGATTACAGGTATGAGCCACCATGCTCAGCCCATGGCAGTCTTGGGCAGTCTCCTACCTAGAGGCAATGAATGAGGCAGTTCCTATTAATAATGGTAGGCACCATGGTTGACGTGTCTAATGTAAATGTGTGAGTATGTAGTTAAAATATCCTTTTGGCCAGGTGCAGTGGCGCAAGCCTGTAGTCCCAGCACTTTGGGAGGCCGAGGTGTGCGGATCACCTGAGGTCAGGAGTTGGTCACCTGGCCAACTTGGTGAAACCCCATGTCTTCTAAAAATACAAAAATTAGCCGAGCTTGGTGGTGGGTGCCTGTAATCCAAGCTACTCAGGAGACTGAAGCAGGAGAATTGCTTGAACCCAGGAGGTGGAGGTTGTAGTAAGCCAAGATCACACCACTGTACTCCAGCCTGGGTAACAGAGCAAGACTCCGTCTCAAAAAAAAAAAAAAAATCCTTTTAATTAAACTAATATTAAATTTTTTCATTCAGTTTGTCTAACAGGACTATAATTCATGTGTATATATATATGTGTGTGTACTTTATCCTGAGCATGAATAAACAGGGGAAAGAATATCATACTGCACGTCTTTCAACTGAAATGTTTACACCACCTTGAGCTTTTATTGACTATTCGATCTAAAGAAACCACTGAGCCAGTTGCCCCCAACTCACATCACTTTATTTCCTCCATAGTTCTTATTAGCCAAAATTATATTGTTTGTTTTATAAAGTATTGCCTCTCTTCTCCTCCATCCCCCAGAGTATAAGCCCCTTGAGAGCAGGGACTTGGTTGATCTTACAGACCACATTATTCCTCAGTACCTCAGACAGTGACTGACACAAATAAATATTTGTTAAATAAATGAATAAATAAATGTAGTTGATGATGAATGCACAAGAGAAAAATACTATGTATTCTTAAGATCTTCCACTTTAGAGTACATAAGAATCACCTGGTACTTATTAATACAGATCCCTTGCAAATATTCTCATCAAGTATTTCTAGGATGGAAACCAGGATTCATCACTGTAAACAACCACTGAGTGATTCTGATGTGATTGGTCCAGCTTTTTTTTTTTGAGACGGAGTTTCACTCTTGTTGCCCAGGCTGGAATACAATGGCGCTATCTCGACTCACCACAACCTCCGCCTCTAGGGTTCAAGTGATTCTCCTGTCTCAGCCTCCTGAGTAGCTGGGATTACAGGTATGTGCCACCATGCCCCACCAATTTTGTATTTTTAGTAGAGACAGGTTTTCTCCATATTGGTCAGGCTGGTCTCGAACTTCCGGCCTCAGGTGATCCACCTGCCTCGGCCTCCCAAAGTGCTGGGATTACAGGCGTGACCCACCGCGCCCAGCCTGGTCCAACATTTTGATAAACACTGCTGTGGGTGAACTTGTAAGATCTTCAATTTGTAATTCCCCACCCAATCAATACAAATACAAACACAGAATCACAGGGGAAGCCAACACTTGGATGATTAGAGCTTATTCCATTTGTCACCAAGGACTGTTCATGAACTAGGTGCCATCAACCAGTCTGTTGCCCCCAGTTAGATCAGAAAGTAGTGATCAAATCAAAAGTAACAAATCCTCTTCCAGTCCCAGCAAGCTACATTGCTTGGAACCCTCTCTCAGAGCAATTGATGAGTTTCTGAACCTGCCATATTGACTAGCAGACCTAATTTAAGACTTTATGTTAAGATGTATTTTTTTCTTCTACCATAATTGAAATGCTTATTTACCTAGAATATCCTCATGTAATTCTTTTGAGCTATTTTATAAAATAACATAACTTATTGAAAAGTGGGGGAAAAGCCTTTATGGCAGATAATCCTCACAACCCTCCATGAGGAGGGTATGCTTATGATTCCCACTTAATAGAGGGAGAAACCAAGGCACAGAAAAGTTAACTGATCTACCCATGTTGATAACAGATACTAAGTGATAAAGTTGGGCTGTGTTCCCACATATTCAGATCCTAGGGGCTGCACATTTATCCCTTCAAGAGAAAAACAGAGATCTGGGAGTTGGTGATATCCTTTGAGCAATACTTAAAGCCAGCCTTAACCAGAACTTTCCAGAAACATGGGCCAATGATACTCTTTTTGTTAAAACCAGAGGGTTGTTTTCTGCCCTTGGCAGTTAAAAGAATACTAATACTTACTTCAAAGACTTTTTTTTTTCATTTTTAGATCCAGATTCCATTTTTTGCTTTGAATTGTTATTTCTGTGCCATACTGACATCTTTAATAAATACATTCAGAATATGAAGTATATTGTTGGCACCATATAAATATGCTGGGTAAATAAATTTGTGCCTCTTACCTTTAACCTCCTCTTCAGTTCCAACCCTTTACTGTTCCTTCCATGCAGTAATCAAACTAGTGGCTTATGCTCTGATTTTCCTTTGGTGTATGGTTTCTTTCTTACTTAAGGAAGTTCTAGAGAAACACTTTATTTTTTATTGTCTGGAGCAAGTCTTAGATGGAATCTTATAGCACTTTTCAAATTGTCCTTGAATTATTAGCCACAGAGTAAGAGTTGTTGCTTTTATCAGTTAGCTGTATTTTAAAATTCTCAGGTGAGTATGTGTGGTCATTTCAGGGCATCAGCAAATATGGTGGTTAATCTGTACCCTTCCTCCATCTGTTCTCCACCCTTCACTGCCCTTCTCTGCACCCTGGATTGGGGGGAGGTACACCCATATACACCACCTCATGAAGCCCATTTTGTCCTATAGTTTCTTGATGGAAGGCATCTACAGGAGATCAGAGTCAGAGAATAGAGATGTTGGAGTATTTCTTACCCCACATTCTCCCTGCCCTTGATACTGTGGTCAGCCAGTGGCTTTACCTTCAGGATTATAGCTCCTATCAGTTTGCTCTCTTTCATTGGTTCAGCTGTCACTATTTCCTCTCCTTGGCCTTCAGGCCAAGCTGGGTGTGATAACAGCATTCCACTCTTGCTAGGCCCTGGGTGCCTCAATGTGGCAGATTGTTTCTTCCAAAAGAACAACCATAGAATTTCTTCTCCTACTTGCTCTTAAAGAACCTTGACATCGCTGCATCAAAAGGTGGAATCTTTGTCCCCTCCACCCCCCTTGAACCTGGGATGGCTTTTGTGTTGGCCTTGACAAATAGAATCAATAGCAGGGACGCAATGTAGCTTCCAAGGCTAGGTCATCTCCTTTAGGTAAACCTTTCTCCTAGCTCTCTTGGGACATGCACATTTAGAGCCTTCAGCCACCATGTAAGAAGTCTAGTTACCCTGACAAGAGACCATATGGAGAGACCACATAGAGAGAGAGCTCTGTCTGAGGACGCTGGTTGTTGCAGCTCCACCTGTGTGAGCCTCCCCGTCTAGGTGCAGATATATGAATAGGTGGCCTTCCGATGATTCTTGTTCTAGCCAATGTCTGACTACAAATGCATGAGACACCCTGGTGAGAACTACCCTGCTGAACCCATTCAACCTCCTGAGCCATGAGAAGTCATATACCACTAAGTTTTGGTGTAGTTGGTTAGGTGGCTATAGATAACTGATACACTCAACGTCCCTTGCTAGTTCCCTTAACTATACCCACATCTCTTCAAATTCCCAGAGCATGCCTTCTATTTCCTGTGGGACCCTGACTACCATGCTGAGAAAGACAGCATTATATATATATATGTGTGTGTGTATATATATATACATATGTGTGTGTATATATTATATATGTTAGAATCAAAAGATCCTCAGAAATCTTAGAGTGAGATCCACCCCTTTGGGTTACAGGTGAGGAAACTGAAGAACCAACTGAGTAAAAATCAAATAGAATTTTATAGGTAGGGAACTAAGGTCCTGACCCATGCAGTGACCCACAGCTCATTAGGGCTCAGATTAGAACGCAGCCCCTATCCACAGCTTTCCTCTACCTAGAGCTTTGTGATTGCTGATTTATCTTACAAATATATTATGCAACTTAAGTCACTTTGGGTCTTGGTGCAGTTTTCAGTCCCAAGACCTCTGATTGTTGGGGTGTCAACAGAGCTCCGTTATTTTTTACTGCAAGAATTATGTGCTGTGGTGTCCGTGCCTGTGTGGCCCTGATTCCAAAGCTAAGCAGATTGTTTGATTGTTTCTAATGAAGACAGGCAGCTTCTCTTTGGAGAATGGCAGAAATGGCTTCTTGGCTGTGCCAGCCGTCTCCTGGAAGCCTTTTCTCTTCCCTTAAAGTCGCTGTCACAGAAACTTGCCGTTTGTCACTCTTGAGGCCCAAGGAACTATTATAAGGTTGTGTGTGCTTCACTTAATGCTGAAGCTAGGTAATTATCTTAGGTGTGCATAGACACCAAACAAAGATTCTTAATAAAAGAACGCAGTAATTTCCTTGTCATTGTCATTTATTCGGTTATTCATGCTAGAGTCTGCTAATTCAGATTTGGATGCATTTGTGTTCTTGTGTGTGTGAGTGTGTGTGTGTTTATCACACATGCTTTCTGCTCATTAGCCAATCTATGCTAAAATAATATTCTTATTATTTTATTCTTTTAATGTAATTGTATTTTAAACTTTTTTTTTTTTTAAATTTTGATTTCTTTCTTTTTTCTTTTCTTTTCTTGCTCCACAAGGCTGGAATGCAGTGGTATGGTCTTAGTTCACTGCAGTCTTGACTTCCTGAGCTCAGGCAATCCTCCCACCTCAGCCTCCTGAGTAGCTGGGACTAAGGTGCACACCACCAAGCCCATAATGTAATTGTATTTTAAGAGGCACTTCCTAGAGAGATAATGTTTAATAAAAAAAAGTGCAGGAATTGGGAGGAGTAGGATTGGGACTTCAGATACTACCTTAGGACTTTTTCAGTTTCAGAAGACTGCAATCCAACTCAAACCAGCGGAAGCAGAAAAGAAAATATATTAGTCTCGTATAATGAAGTCCAGTTAGAGTACAACTAAATCAAGGTGCTCAAATAATATCATCAGGAATGTGTCTCTTTCAGTCTCTCAGGTGTTCTTTCTTTACTATTGGCTTCAGTCCCAGGTAGGCTCTTAGCTCAAGGTGGTAAGATGGTCACCAACAGTTCCAGATTTAGCCATCCCAGTGGAAAAATCATGTCTCTTTCCTTGTAGCCCCAGCACAAATCCCAAGGCTGGCTCGCATTGCACCTCTGTGACTATAGATAAGACAGTTTCTAGATTACCGAAAGTTGTGCTATAAACCTACCCCTGAAACCATAAGACCTAAAAGTAGAAGGGGATGGTTCCTTAGAGGAAAACTGGACTGCTTATACCAGAAGAAAGAGGTATAGATGCTGGTCAAGAATAAACAACAAATATCCACCACAAAAACTTGGCAAGATAGCTGGGTGCGGTGGCTCACGCCTGTAATCCCAGCATTTTGGGAGGCCGAAGAGGGCAGATCACCTGAGGTTGGGAGTTCAAGACCAGCCTGACCAACGTGGAGAAAACCCGTCTCTACTAAAAATACAAAATTAGCTGGACACGGTGGCACATACCTGTAATCCCAGCTACTCAGGAGTCTGAGGCAGGAGAATCGCTTGAACCCTGGAGGTGCAGGTTGCGGTGAGTCAAGATAGCACTGTTGCACTCCAGCCTGGGCAACAAGAGCAAAACTCCATCACAACAACAACAACAAAAACAAAAACAACAAACTTGGCAAGATAGTATCACTCCCAAATTCCTTTGTGTGGCTATGAGGCATTTCATGACTTGCTCCCTGTTGACACACCCAGCCACCCTGTCTCTGCTAACCACTCTCGGTATTAAACAGCAGACATGATGACCTTCTGGCAGTTTGCCCCAGGCTACCGTGCTTTTGGTCACCTCACCTCTGGGCAGTGGTGTTGGTAAGTGTTTATCAACTCGCTCTTCAGGGGCAAAAAAATGCCCTGACAATATTTGCCAATTTCTGTTGTGTAAATACCCTCATCATGACTGATTTCCAGCTAGTAATGTGACATCCATGAATGCGGAGTTGGGAGGAAAGGCCACAATCCCCTTTTCCCATCAGTGCGAACAGGCTTCGGCACACCTCTGCCTCTGAAGTCTTCACCTATTCTGTTCTTTCTGCCTAGAAGGACCTCTCTAAGGCCCTCTACTTCCCCACAGACACTTCCAGGTAATTCCTACAGGTCTTCAACCCCTGGCCCAACTGTTGGCATCTTGCCTGGAAGCAGTCCTGCATCCAGGACCCCTATGTTTCCCTTTAGTACAGACACTCATAAGTGTCTCCTATTAAATGATAAGCTCATGGCATCCACCACATTTTGCATAGTACCTACTACATAATAAGTCCTCATAGTTATTGAATGAATGAATGAATGCACTCCTTGTGTCTCAAGAAATCTCTTTCTGTGGGCAGCTGTCTACTTTACCTGGCAAAGGACAGAACACATTTACTAAAAAGGCAGACAATACAGCTTGGAAATGACTTTCCAAGGGTTGGGCTCATTGCTTGTTCTCACTTCATTAAGATGCTTGTGCACAAGTGATCAATAATTCACTTTTTGGTCCCCAGGCCTATGTTTGCCTTCACAACCCGTGAAGCCCCAGGGAGGCATTCATTAGTGAATGAGAACCTTACGCAAGGATGGAAGATGTTGTATGAGCTGAGTGCTTTGCTTATTTTTGTTTGTAAGAAATGCTTCCCAGAGGGGCAATACAGCCATCAGAATGGGGTGCGTAGGGCATGGCAGGGGATGCCAGGTGGTGGTAGGAGGGAGAGAGGGAAAAGGAGTGCCCAGGAGGAAAATTTGAGGGAAACTAATTCATTCCCAACATCTTTCTTGGGCTTGAAGGGAGTGAACATTCTATACTCAAAAGTGCTTTGAAGCTTGGTATAATATTGCAACCCTTTCCTAGGAAATTATACATAATGATAGATCATTCTGATTCTCAGCAATATGAAAAAATTCTGACATCAAATATGGCCAGCACCTCAAAGAAGGGGTCAGTTTCTATTTACATAGGAGGTAGAAAATAGCTTTTAAGCCTCCTGGGTATCCCATGGAACAGACCCAAATGCATATGTTGCTGTCCTTCCTTGTGTCTCTAACTCCAAGAAAGGTTCAGGTTGGAGTGCATGTATGGGTACACATTCATGTGCTCACAGGCTGTGGTAGCAACACAGATAAGAAGTGGAGCACCGACAGCTACTGCCTCATGAGTGTCCTTTATAATTACATGGCTCTGCTGAAAGGAAAGAGAACTATTAATATCATTGCTTGAGCCTTATGATGTTCCATAGCATCCTTATTATTGGAAGGGTTTTCCCTTCCTTCCTCTCTGCTTCACTGGCTCCTTACATTCCCTCCAACAGTTTCTAAGGCACCTGAACATAAGGTCTAGACTTTGTCTTTCAGAACTCTACAGCCAAAAGAAATGATTCTTTACCTGGGTCTGTAATCCCCAAAGGGGCCTAGGGTTAGATTTTGGGGTCTTGTGTATGCCTTACTATGGAACACAAAATTCCAATTGTCTAGAGAGGAGTCCATAACTTTCATTCGTGTCTCAAAAAGGTTCCTGAAGCCCACAATGTTAAGAGATGAGCCTGTTGCTGAATAGAATCAGGCTGCAATCAAGGTGTCAGGAAGGTACTGTGGTCTTACAATAACACTGTATGGTGGTCTGAGCTCAGAGGTGATGCCCTGAAGGAGAAAGCAGGTGAGCTTGGGCCTCAGATATGTGAAGTTTAAATCATGGTTCTGCTACTGAGTCTTTGGGAGACCTTGGGCAACTTGTGTAACCTCCCTGACCTCAGCAACCATACTTGCTTTGAGGGTTAAATGGACAATGTACAGGGTGTTTGAAAAGTTGGACAACATAGGACAAATTTATGTTTAAACAGTATGTCAGTTATATTTTCCAATACTGTGCTCAATCTATTTTTCTTCATTCTCCAGACACCTTTTCAGGTGAAGAACTTCTCAACTTAAAGCAATGAGTCCAATTGTCCATTTGAAAAAATACAGTAAGTACTTGTTTTCTCTGTGTCCAGACTTTTGTGAACCCTCTGTAGTATATACTGAAATTTAGAAGAATTTTACTTGAAAAGCTGTCTGGAGATTGAAAAAAGAGACTATTGAGCATACCATTTAAAAACAGGTTTGTCTTATGTCCCCACACATTTTGGACACCCTCTATCTATAGGTTGTTGAGACACTGATATTTTATTTTTTCTGGTGGAAGAGGCAGAGGTATGCAACCCCAAAGAAATCAACTAGCAGCACAGCTAGGGCTCTCCTGATTCTTACTCTACAACCCATCAACTGTTCACCACAGGCATTTGAATGTGTAGCTGGCCATATGCCCCTGTCCTCCTGTTCGTCCGTTCCTCTATCTTTCTCACTGCAGTGGCAGCAAGGGATTGAGCAGTCCTCCTGAATGTTTCATCCTAGACAGGTAACTACCCTGGATCTGGCCTGAGGGGGAAAGACTGTTAATCAGAGAGGAATGCATGAATGTCTATTCATATGAATGTGTTTTTAACAAAACGAAGGTTAGAGAATAAGAATCCTGGGCCGGGCGTGGAGGCTCACGCCTGTAATCCCAGAACTTTGGGAGGCCAAGGCGGGTGGATCATGAGGTCAGGAGATTGAGAACATCCTGGCTAACATGGTGAAACCCCATCTCTACTAAAAATCCAAAAAAAAAAAAAAAATTAGCTGGGCGTGGTGGCGGGCGCCTGCAGTCCCAGCTACTCGGGAGGCTGAGGCAGGAGAATGGCATGAACCTGGGAGGTGGAGCTTGCAGTGAGCTGAGATGGCGCCACTGCACTCCAGCCTGGGCAACAGAGCAAGACTCCATCTCAAAAAAAAAAAAAAAAATCATGGAGGAATCTTGATCGCTCCCCATCAGGTTAGGTGTCCCAGCTGTGTGCCGCCAGAGGGCTCTGTACCCAGCACCCTGGGTTGCAATTGCTTGGTTTATTGTCTGTCTTCTTTCTGGGCTTCCATCTAGTGCTCACATCATGTCACAGAGCCTGATAGGCATATAATATGTACTCAACAAGTATTTTTATATGAATTACTTCTTAAAGAAATTTAATGTCTTCCTGAAAATTGAAAGGGAATATGACTTGGAATGATTGAGTTACATTTGGAGATGAAAATAAGAAATACAAGTCTTACTAGCAAAGCTAAACACCTGAGCTGTAATTCCCCCAACTTCTTTTCTCCCATGAAGTTATGTCATTAACATAAGAAGAAACAAATAAGCAAATAAGCACTAATATGCTAATGGATGTTATTAAAGAAGCCCTACCTCTTTGAATAAGCAACCTGACTTTCAAGAAATTATCCTATGCACATCAGCATAAAAGAAAATGTTTAAAGCTATTGGCTGCAGCATTGTTATCAAGAATAAAAAACTGGAAACAATTTAATTGTATAGATGGTCTCTATACAATGGTTCAACTTACAATTCTTCAATGTTACAAGCAGGGACAGCTGTGGTGCCATCGCAGGGTCCTAGCCCCACTTTATGGACATGTTCTCTGTGTGAGGAGCACACTAGAGACACTTTTGTGTCTTGAAGTAGTGAAGGCAATGGTTCCAAGCTCCAGCAATTCAAATAATCACCTTGAGGGTTTTTGGAAAATAGATTCCCAATTTATAATCCTGAAGATGCTCATTCAGGAGGTCTGGAATAGGCCCCAGAGTCCATGTTCTTAACAAATGCTCCCTGTGAATCAGGTTGATCAGTTAGGTTTGGGGACTGACTTCTGAGGGACTCATAGCAAGAGCTGAGCAGTCTCAGGCAGTTTCTCTATGACTCACTTCTAAAAAGCAGTGGTGGAAGATGTGAAAGAAGCACCCACAGAGCATATTAAAAATGCACATTTCACATCAGTAGAAAGTGGCTAAAATGACAAAGACAGACAACAGCAAATATTGGTGAAGATGTGGAGCAGCTGAGACGTTTATTCCATTGCTGATACGAGCATAAAACTGCACAAACTTTTTGAAAAACGGTTTGGCATTTTCTTACAAAGTTACACATACGCCTACCCTGTGATCAAGCAATTCCGCTCCTAGGTGTTTACTCAAAATAAGTGAAAGCATATGTTCACACAAAGAGTTGTGCGCTAATATTCATAATTGCTGAGAATGCAAAATACCTTCCGGTGGACACACCCTAAGGTGGCCTCCCAAAAATTCACAGCCTGTATAATCCCCTCGAGTGTGGGTGGAACTTGTGACTTGCTCCTAACCAATATAGCAAAGGTGATGAAATGTCATATGCCTACGATTATGTTACATATATAAGACTCCATTTTAGCAGGCTGGAGAGAGAGACTTTACTGCTGGCCTTGAAGAATTAAACAGCTATGTTGTAAGCTGCCCTTGGAAAAGGCCACGTGGCAGGGAACTACAGAGGGCAGCCTCCAGCTGACAGCCAGTACAAAGCCAAGATCCACAGTACTACAACTGAAAAGACCTGAATTCTGCCAACAACCATGTGAACTTGGAAGAGGACTTCGAGCTCCAGATAGTAATGGAGCTTGCTGACACTGTGGTTGCAGCTTTGCGAGACCCTGGCAGAAGACCAGACTAAGCCATGCCTCAGCTCCAAGCCATGGAAATTGTGAGCTAATGTAGATTGGACGTCCTAAGTCTGAAAACCCAATCTGAAATGCTCCAAAATCCAAAACTTTTTGCTCAACAAGATGCTCAAAGGAAATGCTCATTGGAGCATTTTGTATTTTGGATTTGGGATGTTTAACCAGTAAGTATAATGCAAATACTCCTAAATCTGAAAAAAATCCAAAACTCAAAACACTTCTGGTCCCAGACATTTCAGATAAGGGAGACTCAAACTGCAAATGTATGTTGTTTTAAGCTGCTATGTTTGTGATAATTGGTTATACAGCCTAAAAAACTAACACACACCCAAATGCCCCTCGGCAGGTGGTTGTATGAACAAATTGTAGCATATTCCATATGTAGCACAGTGGAATATTACTTAGCAATGAGAAAGAACAATTAATATCTATAACAACATGGATGACTCTCAAAACCATTATGTTAAGTGAAAGAAGCCTGGCTCAAAAGAGTATACAAGTGTGAGAGAAATCAGAACAGTAGTCACTTCTGGGAGGGTGGGTGACTGGCTGGAAAGGGGCCTATGGAAACTTTCTAGAGTGATGGAAGTTTTGGTTGAGGTGGTGGATTATATACATTTGTTGAATCCCATTGAAAGGTGCACTTAAAATCTGTGCGTTTAGTTGTATGTAAATTGTGCTTTAATTTTAGAAAAAGGCAAATACCCCTCTCTTCCAGATTCAGTGGGTCTAGGGCAGTAGGGTATAGAATTCTTCATTTTTAGCAAGCATCTCCAGACAATTCTATTGTAGAAGTCTTTTAGCCACACTTTGAAAAAACCCCAGGGCTGTAGGTCATTTAATCTGGAAGGATGGAGGAATCGGGAACATATGGTTTCTTCCAACTCAATCTAGCTTTCTCCCAAAGGACTTGTATTCTAATTAGAACAACAATGATTTTATTCATTATTCAGCCAGTCAACAGGCAATTTCATTCAGTTCAATTAATTAAGAGTTTCTGAGAACATGCTATTTATCTTATTCAAAGAAATCATAAGATGTAACCATTCTTCCAAAAGTGCTAAAATTTAATTGAGGAAAATACCCCTGTATGTGTGAAACTGGAAATGGTTCAATTGCAATACAAAGCAAACAAGATAACTACTCACTTCCTAGTTATTGAATCTAGTTTGTTTGTTTGTTTGTTTTGGTCACTTTCCAAAGTATTCCCAATAGCCATGATTTCCTTATGTCTGCGTATCTTTAAAGTCACTTTTTATGGCATACTCAGTAATTTTAATGAAGACTCAAATGTTCTTCCCCCTGTTGCTCCCATTATAAGGCTGTTGCTTCTCCTTTTGTCCATTTTTGTTCTAGTCAGTCATGAATCATGCTGCTGGAAGCTTTCAGGAGCTGTCAGTTGAGGATCATGACAATAATCGGCCCCACCTGCCTTCCCTGATATCTTGGCAAAGGCTTTGGTCCTGCCCCATGTTCCAAGAACCAACCAAGGAAACTGATTCTAATCAGAAGCCCAGCTGGACAGATGGAATACAATATCCTAATTCCCAGATGCGGCTGCTTTTTGCTGAGCTTATTTCACTCAGCAAAATTTCTTCAGCTTCCTAAGCATCGAATTTTAATCCTCATTAAGTATCACAACCTATAATAATGTTCACACAGATTCATACTTGTGAAAGCTTCCTGACAATTTTCTACTTCATTTTCCTCAATTCCAGGTCATTCTAAATGATGCTTTTCTACTATGGACAATAGAATGGTCAATGATCCAGAAAACGATGTTTCTCTTTGGTGATAAAGATAGAAAATTTCTTTTTATAATGCAAGAGTAAGACACCTCAGAGTAGTAAGGGCTTTCTGAACACTTATTTTGTCATTAAATTCCCCATTATCTAGAATATAAATCCAGGGACCTAAACAAGATAAAATACATTTACAGAAAAGTAACCAGGGTAGAGAATGCACAGGGAATCTTTGGTTCAAAGAGGAGAAGACTCAGATATAGCCTTCAATCTATAGCAGTGTCAGTCTACATGGCTACAAGAAATAAAATTAGGTCTGATGGTGAAAGGAACAGAGTGAAAATCTTAGTTCAATAAATAAGGAGACATTTCCTTACAAGGAGGTAACAGCCATTTATTAAATCACAGTTCTGTGGGTTGGAAGTCCAGGTACAGCATGGTTCTGCTGGGTCCTCTGCTTAGACCCTCATGAGGCTGAAATCAAGGTGTTGGTAGGTCTGGATTCCATTCTAGAGGCTCTGGGGATGAATCTGCTTCCAAGCTCATTCACATTGTCGGCCAGATTCAGTTCCTTGTGGGTGTAGGACTGAAGTGCTTGCTTCCTTGCTGGCTGCCAGTATGGACTGATCTTTTCTCCCAGAGGCTGCCGCCTTCCTTCTCATGCTTTCCATATGCATCTCCTGTTCAGCAATGGCAGGTTGAGTCCTTCTTATGCTTCAAGTGTCCCTGACTTCCCCTTCTGCCCGTCTCTCTGACTGACTCTTCTGCCTTCTGCGGCTGCTTTTAAGGACTCACATGATTACACTGGGCCCACTCAGATAATCCAGGATAATCTCCCCACTTTAAATTCAGCTAGTCACCTTAATTGCATCCACAAGTCCAAAGCAGAACTTAGATTAAATGTTTGATTTAATAACCAGGAGATGGGAATCTTCAGAATTCTGCCTATTGCATGAGTTTCTTATTCTCAAAGATAAAAATAATGCTGAGGAGAGGAGCACAATAGTAGCCGAAGGGAGGTCATCCTGGAGCTGCTCTACTTGGACCAGGACTGTGTAGGGAAGCACAAGGCAGCTACCAGTCGTCACAATGATTGGTGGGTGCTACTAGTGTTTTGGTGGGAGTGTGACAGGGATATTAGGTATCCTGTAGTGTTTGGGACAGTCTCGCACAATGAAGAACTGTCTTGCCCAAATTGCTAATAGAGCTCCCACTGAGAAACATCAGGCTAGACAGAGCAGCCCTGTGGATTGACACACATCTCTGAGTACATGCCCTAAACAATCAGCATGCCCATGTGCCTTGCTCACATCACCCTGCTTTTGATAAGATACAGGAAAAGGAGGAACACAATGCAGCTGTCAGAGTAACCAAGCCTACACACATCCCCTTGGGATCTGGCTCCTTCCAGAAAGGCTGAAGGGTTGAAAGGCAAATCGGTGACATAGGCACATAGCAGGCAAGCCCTGGGGTGTTGGACCACAGACATGACTCTGGATATGAAGGCTAGCAGCTGTAGAGTCCAGCCTTGCTCTTCCTGTCATCTGTCATGCTGGCCTCTGTGGTGCTGGAATTTTCCCAAAGTTAGAAGTTTCCTATGACTGGTTCCAAAGGGACTTTGGTGGATATGTTTTGTCAGGGAGTGCTATGCGGAGGACAGTCCTTGAAGGTACAGCCTGCCATGATGGTGGCAGGTGCAGTGACATCAATGAAAACATGTCATTCTAGTTAAGAATACCTCAGCATGCTCCACTGAGAAAAGTTTGAAGAGCAAACAGGAATAACTGGTGCAAATAAAAAGAGTGGAGGTAAAATGAGCCAGAGACCCTGGGGAGAAAGGGATAGAAAAAGGAAGTAGAGGGGAGACTAAAAGAGAGAGGACCTCTGTTGTTTGTGTAAGAACCTGACACTGACCAGAAGGTAACACAAGGAGAAGATTGCACAATCTTCTGGCTTCTGACTCCTAGTCAGCAAGGAATAAGACTGGGTCCTTTGAGAAGCTAGGCTGAGGCTATATAATTTGCAGCTAATACAGTCATAATGGTTGTGTGACATTAAAAACTGCAGGAAGCAGGTCAGGTGCCGTGGTTTATGCCTGTAATCCCAGCACTTTGGGAGGTCGAGGTGGGTGGATCATGAGGTCAGGAGATCGAGACCATCCTGGCTAACATGGTGAAACCCCGTCTCTACTAAAAAAAATACAAAAAATTAGCCGGGCGTGGTGGCGGGCGCCTGTAGTCCCAGCTACTCGGCAGGCTAAGGCAGGAGAATGGCGTGAACCCGGGAGGCAGAGCTTGCAGTAAGCCGAGATTGTGCCACTGCACTCCAGCCTGGGCAACAGAGCGAGACTCTGTCTTAAAAAAAATAAAAGAAAGAAACTACAGGAAGCATTGTGGAGTGTAACGTAAGGGGACTGATTTGCATGAGTGCATCATGGAACTATTTTTTTTTTTTGAGATGGAGTCTTACTCTGTCGTCCAGGCTGGAGTGCAATTACACGATCTCAGCTCACTGTAACCTCTACCTCCTCCAGGGTTCAAGAGATTCTCCTGCCTCAGCCTCCCAAGTAGCTGGGACTGCAGGCACGTGCCACCACACCCAGCTAATTTTTTTGTATTTTTAGTAGAGACAGGGTTTCACATGTTAGCCAGGATGGTCTCGATCTCCTGACCTTGTGATCTGCCCGCCTCAGCCTCCCAAAGTGTTAGGATTACAGGTGTGAGCCACGGTGCCCGGCCATGGAACTATTATTCCTTTTCAATCATATCATGTATTTCTTTTTTTGTGCCTCCTCATCTTCTTGACATCCAAATGTTGGAAAGCCTCTTTTCATTTTTATGTATACTCACTGCCCTGGTGAATTTATCCTAATTTAAATTTTGTTACCCATACACCAAAAACTCCAAAATTTATACATCTAGTCCAGGTGTTTTCTCTGAACCCAAGTTTTGCACATTAAGTTGTACACTTGAAATTTCTACTTGCAGTTCAATAGACATCTCATACTTAACATACCTAAATCTTCACTTAATATTCCCCACTAAAGTTGTTTCTACTCTAGTTTTACTCATCTCAGTAAATGACACTCCATTCATTCATGGTTAGATGATTTAGGTGGCAGGATTTTGAATCAATGATATAAAGGTATGAGACTGCTGGAAGAGTCTGGACAGGAGGAAATATATTATGCATGTTGGGGACATGAACAAATGGGGCTCTGGGGACATACTGTGATAGCCAGGCTTCAAGGTGGCCACCAGTAGTAGTCCCTATTCCTCTCTTTTTTTGTCCCATCTCCTACTGAATATGCCTACCTATGTAACTAATAGGACTTGCATAAATTATGGTATGCGACTTCTGAGACTAGATCTTTTTTTTTTGAGATGGAGGCTCACTCTGTCGCCCAGTCTGGACTGCAGTGGCAAGATCTCGGCTTACTGCAACCTCCACCTCCCAGGTTCAAGCAATTCTCCTGCCTCAGCCTCCTGAGTAGGTGGGATTACAAGGATGCGCCAGCATGCCCGGCTAATATTTTTTGTATTTTTAGTAGAGACGGGGTTTCACCATATTGGCCAGGCTGGTCTCAAACTCCTGACCTTGTGATCCTCCTGCCTCGGCGTCCCAAAGTGCTGGGATTACAGGCATAAGCCACCACGCCTGGCCAATCTTTTTTCAAGTATATGGTTAGTTTACAGTATATTTAAAGAGTGGTGCAACCATTACCAAAGTCTAATTTTAGAACATTTTCATCAACCCTCAAAGAAACCCCATACCCATTAACAGTCATTCCCAAGCCCCTTCTCCTCTCCTAGCCCTAGAAAACCAATGATCTACTCTCTACCTCTAAAGATTTGCCTATTCTGGACACTTCATATAAATGAAATCATATAATACATGGGGTTTATTGTTTAGCTTCTTTCACTTAGCATAATGTTTTCAAGGTTCATCCACGTTGTACATGACTCATTTTTGTTTCATCTTTTAATTGTGGAATAATAGTCCAATATATGGATATACTACATTTTGTTTATCTGTTCTCTGTGACTGTCTTGATCATCCCCTCACAGTAGCATTCTCTTAAACTGCATTCAATGCAGCTAAGGAGAAGCAGACCTCTTACCATCTTCACCATCTCTCATCTCTCCCTTTTTTTTTTTTTTTAAATTATACTTCGGTTCTGGGACACATGTGTAGAACATGCAGGTTTGTTACATAGGTATACACGTGCCATGGTGGTTTGCTGCATCCATCAACCCATCATCTACACTAGGTATTTTTCCTAATGCCATCCCTCCCCTAGTCCCCCATCCCCTGACAGGCCCCAGTATGTGATGTTCCCCTCCCTGTGTCCATGTTTTCATTGTTCAACTCTCACTTATGAGTGAGAACATGCGGTGTTTGGTTTTCTGTTCCTGTGTTAGTTTGCTGAGAATGATGGTTTCCAGTTTCATCCATGTCCCTGCAAAGGACATGAACTCATCCTTTTTTATGGCTGCATAGTAGTCCATGGTATATATGTGCCACGTTTTCTTTAGCCAGTCTATCATTGATGGGCATTTGGGTTGGTTCCAAGTCTTTGCTATTGTGAATTGTGAATTGAGACAGAGTCTCACCCTGTCACCCAGGCTGGAGTGCAATAGCGCAATCTCAGCTCACTGTAACCTCCGCCTCCTGGGTTCAAGTGATTCTCCTGCATCAGCCTCCCGAATAGATGTGATCACAGGTGTGCGCCACCACACCCAGCTAATTTTTTGTATCTTTACTAGAGACGGGGTTTCACCATGTTGGCCAAGCTGGTCTTGAACTCCTGACCTTGTGATCTGCCTGCCTTAGCCTCCCAAAATGCCGGGATTACAGGTGTGAGCTATTGCGCCTGGCTGAGACTAGATCTTAAAAGACACAGCTGCAGTCACCTTGCTCTTTTTTGGAACATTTGCTCTGGGGAAAGCCAGCTGTCATGTCATGAGGACACACAAACAGCCCTATGGGGAAGTTCTTATGGCAAGAAACTGAAGTGCTTACCCACAGCCAACACCAACTAACCACACATATGAGTGTGCTATCTTGGAAGTAGGTCCTACAGCTCCAGTCAAGCTTTTGGATGACCCTGACGAACATCTGGACTGCAATATCATGACTGAACCACCAGCTAAGCCACTGCCAAAGTCTTTACCCACTGAAACCGTGTGAGACTATAATATTAATTGTTTTAAGATACTAAGTTTTATGCTAATTTTTATGGAGCAATAGAGACTTAATACACATAGCTTTATCCTTAATGTCTTTTTCTCACATTCCACATCTAATTCATCAGAAAATCATGTTGGCGTTACATTTCAATATATCCAGAATCTGATCATCCCTTATTGTCTCCAGTGCCACACTCTAGCCCATCATCTCTCATGAGAATTTTCACAACAGCTTCCTTACTGGTTTCCTTGTTTCCACTCCTGCCCTACCTAAGTCTATTCTTAAAGGAGCATCCATGATCCTAGTAAGACATTAGTTAGATCATACCACTGTCCTCCTCAAAACCCTGCACATTTTCCTCATTTCACTCATATAAAGGCCCATATTCTTAGAGTGGCTCAATATGACTGCCTCCTCCTCCTTATCTCATCAACTACCATCCCCAGGGTCTAGCACAGGCAATGTGCACAAAAGATATTTTCTAAGCCAAACTGAACTGAAGTTGGGGAGAGAAAAGAGCAGAAAGATCCCCGTCATCATCATCATCATGCATAGGGGTTGGGGGGAATGGGAGATGGGAGGAGAATACTGAGAATAGGAATAAGCATGAAGTCTTTCAATAGAATTGCATTATTTATTTTTTTTCAAATGTTTATTTTAAGTACAAGAACTATCGTGGGTTTTCATTGAGTAGATGCCTTGGATAATCCTTTGAAGGAAGATCATTTAGTCCAACTTAATGAAACCGATCTCCTTCGCTTACTGACGGAAACACTGGCGGCACATATTGAGGCCATATTTCCAGATCAGACCATGCCCGTTTGAACAGACACGACAAGAATGAGAACCCTGGCTGAATTTTCACAGGTGGCTCCAGTATAGCTGCTGGTGACCCATCTTGCTGTCAGGAGTGCAATGAGGCCAAAGGCGAATTTCATTATTTTTTAATTTTTGTAGAGATGGGGTCTTGCTATGTTCCCCAGGCTTGTCTGAAACTCCTGGCCTCAAGCAATGGCCCCAGCTTGGCCTCCCAAACTGCTGGAAATTACAGGCATGTGCCAGGGTGCCTGGCCTTTTAAAAGGATTTCAAAGTGTTCCCTCCCTGCCTCCCTCACCACACCTTTAAAATCTAGATAGGAAGGCAAGACTGAGAGGTCAGAGAAGAGTGACAAGAGGGAAATGGACAGTGGGAAATGACAAAGGCAAGTTTCATCTAGTCCCTGTTTTCCAGAGCTGAGTCCTGAACCCTGAACTGCAAGGGGAGGTGTGCGAAGCTGTCCTGGATTCGAAAAATATACTGAGCATTCGAGCTTTTGTCCTCTAATCACAGTGAAGGTTTGTTTTTTTTTTTTGTTTTTTTTAAAGCCAACCATGGTCTAGTCTACCTTAATACTTGGCTGAGATATACCAGAGGGCTGCTATTTGAAATTGTCACACTTTTCAAATACCTCAGCTGGTGACAAACATGGCTATAATGTAAATGGCCCACAGTCTCTTCAAAATTGCCAAACGCGAGGTTTCAGGCTGGGACTTGCAGTTACTTTAAATTCTCTCTTTGCTCTGAATTCTGCTCAGTTCAAATGAAATGCATGCATCACACATCAAGAACGACAGGGAGCCATCTGAAATTTCCTGAAACACCTGGTGCCAGGCAGGTTGAGGCAGGCAATCCTGTCATGCTGCCCTTGACAGGTTTGTGATAGCATCTTTTTTTGGTCTTTATGTTATTTACTGACAAATTCCAAGTAACGTCAGAGCTGATGAATACAAAACAGCCACTGTGACTGCAAACCCGCCACCACCAAGAGCACAGACTTCAATGGATCCACAGCAGGGCTTTCCAACCAGAAGCGGCATGACCCATTGGGGACTGGAGAAACAAGTCAATGGATCACGACAGCATTTCAAAACAAAATCAAGGAGGATGAAAATGAGAACACCAGAGTTTACAGTTCAGAGAAAACATAAGAACTGTTTTATGAAACTTCAGCTTTAATTACATATGTGTATGTGTGTTTACGTATGTTCTAGGTTTAATATAAAATCCTGTCTCTACTAAAAATACAAAAAAATTAGCCGGGCATGGTGACGGGTGCCTGTAGTCCCAGCTACTCGGGAGGCTGAGGCAGGGGAATGGCATGAACCTGGGGGGCAGAGCTTGCAGTGAGCCGAGATCGCGCCAGCCTGGGCGACAGAGCAAGACTCTGTCTCAAAAAAAAAAAAAAAACAAACAAAAAAAAAACAATTAAATTATTTGCTCACAGTCACGGTCAAAGGAGTGCACAAACCACTGATCTAGAGCCAAGGCTCGAAAATACTGTCTTCAAGCCAAAATCAGCTCACTGCCTATTGTCTGTATGGCCTGCAAGATAAGAATGGCTTTAACACTTTGGAATGTTTGGAAAAATTCAAAAAGCAGGATATTTCATGATGTGTGAAAATGATGTGAAATTCAAATTTCGGTGTCCACAAAGTACTATTGGCACACAGCCACACCCATTTGTTTATGTATTGTCTGTGGCTGCTTTTGGCAAAGTTGAATAGTTGCAACAGACACTTTATGGCCCACAAAGCCTAAAATATTTTCTATCTTTATGGGCAAAGTTTACCGACCTCTGATCTAGAGGCCTCATTTTTATGATGCATTTTTTTCAAGTCTGTACATCTGTTTAATTTGGTTTATAGAAGAAACAGGGAAAGGATCTGACAGAAGATTGCACTGTGGGATTCTGGGTGTGTCGTGGATACTGCCACTCCTCTCCACATCCCCTGTCCTGTTTTGTGTGCCCCTCCCCTGGCCCCTGTGCCTTCTGTGGCCTGCACCTGTGGCTTTCCGCAGAGGCCTGCCGTTGGAATCTTGGAGCAGTTTTGCCTGCTTATGCAGCAGCTGGAGGTACCCAGGAGTTTAAGCTACTGCAGGCAGGCCTTTGCTCAAGACAGTGGGGTATGAAACGCTAATCCTCTTGCTCAAGTCGTGAGGACGGAACTCTGAAGTGTAACTTTCACTCCAGATGTCCCCTGTGGGATCAGGCTGGTTTCCTTTCTCTAGACTTTGCCTGAATCATACTCTTGCTTGAGTTCTCTCCCTTCCCCATCCTGCTTGCCCCATTCTCTTTGGGTTTCCTGAAGCACTTTCTTTGACACTGGGGTTGCACATGCATCTGACTCTGTCAGAGTCCTCTTCTGGGGAGCCCAGCCTGAGAGAGGGGAAGCAGTGGGGAGGTTCATAAAAGGCAACTCTTTCTGACAAAACTTTGGTTTCATGGGTGCTCCCTATAATGTCTTGCTGAATATGGACACTTCCCACATTGCTTTTGTTTTTCTGAAAGGGAGAAGGTGGTTATTTCATTTAAGATGATTTTGCAATGCATTGTAATTTCAAAGAGCTCTGAGATGAGTCAAGATAATTGGATTCTATTTCCAATGGATCCACTGGGCAAGCAATAAGCACCATGAAACTCATATTCTCCCATTTGTAGGAGGTAGAGTAGCTAACGTTTAAGCTTTCCCCTAACTTTCTGAGTCTTCTTGTAAAGTGGGTGCTTTAAACCATCTTCTAGATGCTGACTAATCCCCATCACGGCACCTAACCTGCAAACCTGGTTGAGCTCCAAAATCCAGGTACATCACTCACACAGCAGAGGCGCTGGACCCGGCATTGTGGGTGGACACCAGAGGTACACTGGAGACCCTCCAGGGGACTCAGTGCTCCCCATCCTCAAGCCTTGACACTGGTTGCCAATCAGCAGCACTCAGAGACTTTGCTTTCCAATATGGAGCCAATACCCGCAGTTTTAAGCTTCAAAACCCTGGGTTCCCTCTCACCTCTTAATCCTAGCTGGGACTGTGCATATTGGGCTTCCTGTGTGGCACCCAATCTTTGGTCTGTTCCTTTCTGTCTTGGTCATGCTGCATAGCTGGCTGTTTCTGTAGCAGTCCTGTCCATGTATCAAAGCACTTTTTGGTGAGACAAGAGCAACTGAAAGGAACCAGGAGAGGTTCTAGGTAGACACACAAGGGGAGGGAACCCTGTAATGGAAACGGGAGAGCAGGTGAGAAGGTGGGGGACTAGAAGATAGCACACTTTATTTATATCTTGCTCACCATAAAAACTTTAAATGACACATAAAGATATATTTTTTCAGCCAGGTCTAAGGATCCCTGGAGATTCTGGACATATTATCTGAGGCCCACAAGTTCTTTATCCAAATAATAACAATAATTACTATTATTTTGAGATAGAGTCTCGTTCTGTCACCCACGCTGGAGTGCAGTGGTGAGATCTTGGCTCACTGCAACCTCCGCCTCCCAGATTCAAGCGATTCTCTGCCTCATCCTCCTGAGTAGCTGGGATTACAGGCACCCGCCACCATGCCCGACTACTTCTTGTATTTTTAGTAGAGACAGGGTTTCACCATGTTGGCCAGGCTGGTCTCGAACTCCTGACCTCAGTTGATCTGCTCGCCTTGGTCTCCCAAAGTGCTGGGATTACAGACATGAGCCACCACGCCCAGCCCACGAAATTATTTTTAATTTTATCTATGCATTTGGATAGCCATCTCAACGATTAAATATGAAAAAGTCCACCATCTGGATACCAGAAGATGACCACATTCAACCTAAGGCTAGACTCCAATTCTATCGCCCTCGTTTTCTTTTTTTATGTTTCTTTTTTTTTTTTTTTTTGAGCTAGTCTCGCTCTGTCGCCCAGGCTGGAGTGCAGTGGCACTATGTCGGTTCACTGCAAGCTCCGCCTCCAGGGTTCACGCCATTCTCCTGCCTCAGCCTCCCCAGTAGCTGGGACTATAGGGGCCTGCCACCGTGCCTGGCTAATTTTTTTTTTTTTTTGTATTTTTAGTAGAGACGGGGTTTCACTGTGTTAGCTAGGATGGTCTCGATCTCCTGACCTCATGATCCGCCCTCCTCGGCCTCCCAAAGTGCTGGGATTACAGGCGTGAGCCACTGCACCCAGCCAATCGCCCTCAGTTTCATTTGTGTTTAAAATCTTTGGGAGTCAAGTGAAAACTTACAATGATAGCATTTTATCTTTTTATTTTTTCCACAATGAAATTAGATTTATCATTTACTTTTAAGTTTGTGTAAACAATCACTATCATATACAAAGTTTCAGATACTACATGAAAGGATAAAGCAAAGGGAAAAGTCACTCGAAATGCTACCACTCATGCCATAAACACTCTGACCATCCTTCTCTGTCTGGTTTTTAATCATTTATGAGTCAGAAAGCAAGCCTGACTGCCATAAGGTTGGCAGGTCTCAGCATCAAAATGATAACTGTCACCCTTACATTGAATTCTTTTCTCGTTATCAAGACAAAGCCTCCCTTTGGCTGTGATAATTTACAGTTGAGTGCCATTTTCAAATGCAAAGACTTTAGTTTTTAGAATTATTTAATAAGTTGAGGATTCAAATTAACATCCTGAAAATTAACATAATTAAAATGAGTAATGCACTACTTTAATTAATGAGGAGTAATGAGAAAAGACCAGAAGCAGATTTAATATGAAGATGATACATTTGGCCTATCTGAAAGTCACAGGACATCATGCTGATACTAGCTTGAACATTTCAATTATAGAAAAGATAGAAAGAATAATATTTGAATTTTGGTTATTTTCTAAATGATATAAATGACTCATTTCCAGCTTTTAGCATTTTCTTTCTACACTTTGACTATGAGCTAACTCTGTGTTGAAACTTTGCATTTTTTTCAACATCTACAAAAAATAGAGCAGATTCAGATATTATTTTCTGTTCCCCCAGAATATTTAATACTTAAAAAAATCACATTAACCTTACTTTTTATTTTATTTATTTATTTATTTATTTATTTATTTATTTTGAGACACAGTTTTGCTTTTGTTGCCTAAGCTGGAGTGCAGTGGTGTGATCTCAGCTCACTGCAAACTCTGCCTCCCAGGTTCAAGTGATGCTCCTGCCTCAGCCTCACGAGTAGCTGGGATTACAGGCACCCGCCACCAAGCCCAGCTAATTTTGGTATTTTTGGTAGAGACGGGGTTCACCATGTTGGCCAGGCTGGTCTCGAACTCCTGACCTCAGGTGATCTACCCACTTCGGCCTACCAAAGTGCTGAGATTACAGGCATGAGCCACTGCGCCTGGCCAACATTAACCTTACTTTTAAGGGGCCAAAACCAATGTGGAGTTATCAGGTGTCATATCAGGTGTCATATCATTAAAACTGGTCTACAGTTTTGGTTCAGTGTGGTCTGATTATCTTGAATTTTAAACATAGGCTTGAAGTTTTTTCATATTTTTTTCTAGCATAATAACAATACAAAGAATACTGACATAGCCAAATGGAAAAAGATTTATGATAGACTTGTACATCTTTCTACAATTGTAACTTCATCAGAAACCTCATTTTTAGCACATCATCTGTGAATCTGGGTTTTTATGACACAGATTCCTAAGGCATTTAATTTGTAAATTGTCTTTGGATTTACATTCCTATGAGTGCTAAAACATAAAGAGAACACTGGTTTCTACTACTTATACCTAGTTAAGTAAAATTTAGGATTGAAAATTTTAAGCCAATAGTAAGTATCCAAAGAACTGTTTCCCTTTACGGGATCAATACATTACCCAAATCTGATAAATCCTAGTGTAAATTAGCTAAAAAATGTCTCTTGTGTCTGTGTAGGCTTGTAGACTAAACATATGAATATATTTTATCTTAATGGGACTATCCTATTTGTGTTGTTCTGTAACTTAAATTCTTTCTTAATAATATGTCACAGACTTTTTTTTTTAAGTGAAAGTGAAATAGCTGAGTCAAAGAGAATGCACATTTAAATTTAAATTTTTGATAGATATTGTCTGATTGCTTTCCAAAAAGCAATCTATCCCACCCAGGGCACAGAAGTTTGCCACACTCTCATTAACACAGAGTTAGAACTTTAAATTTTTGGAAACTTACATTTTTGGAAATCTGATGGTTGAGAAGAATTGTGTGTAAACTGAGTAAATGCTATTCTATGTTTCAAGTGTATACAGATGCTGTTGTGATTGTTGAAATATACAATCGTATCAAAGTATTACTACATTCATTTGACCTACTTATGATGTATTTTCTCAATCAATGGCTACTTAAACCACTATCATGTAGAAGTTTGTTATTTTATTTTAAAAATGGGGTGCTCATATTAAAAAATGTTTGGAAGCTTGCAATACTTGAGAGCTTTTTCTGCATGAGAATACTACCTAATATCATACTTCCCAGAGGAAATGGCAGAGTGGGCCTCAGACGGAGCGGCCCAGGCAGCTGTCCCTTCCCTCAGAACTGACACAGTATCATCCCACGGATTCAAAGAGGTCCCAAAGAAAGAACAGATTCCTCTTTGAGAGGAGTTTTTTCCTAAATAATGAATAAAGATATCTTTTCTCTTTTATTTCCAAGTCCAGGGTCTTAATTTCCATTATTATAGAATCAGTATAAGACAATACCTTAAACAAACTAACAAAATGCAGCCCGGCCATATACCCAGATGACATAAAAAGCACGCTCAGTTGTGCTACTGCACTTGAAGTTCTCTGGCAGCAGGTGATGTGTCCAATTCACCCTTGTATCCCTCAGTGCCTGGCAGAATGATGGCACACAGATGAATGAATGAGCTGGGAGCATCCTTGTGTGTATTATAAATCTGTGCAGGATGACATACTTTCTATTACTTTCCTAATTCTTTGTATGGTTTGAATATTTGTCCCTGTCCAAATCTCATGTTGAAATGTAATCCCACTGTTGGAGGTGAGGCCTAATAGGAGATGTTTGGATCATGGGCTAGCTCCGTGGCGATAAATGAGCTCTTGCTCTGAATTCACATGAGATCTGGTTGTTTATGAGTGTGATATGCCTGCTCCTGTTTTGCCTTCTGCTATGAGTAAAAGCTCCCTGAGGTCTTCCAAAAGGTGAGCAATGCTGGTGCCACGCTTGTGCAGCCTGCAGAACTGTGAGCCACTTAAACCTCTTTTCTTTATAAATCACCCAGTCTCAGGTATTTCTTTATAGCATGCAAGAATGGCTTAATATATTACTCTCAACTGAGTTTTAGCCTTTGAAGAAATCCTTTAGAAACTACTGATTTAGACTTTTGCTAGAACTGATGACAAAATATTTTAAAAGACAAGTATGGATTCTCTCTGAAAACACAACTGACTTCTTAAAAATGAAGCTTCCTATTACAAGAACAGAATATAATATCCTACCCTGGTTCACTCTACATTATTCCAAAGAGGAAGCTTCCACTTCTGATAGTGCTGTGCTGAGCAGACTGAATTAACCACAATCACAATGACCAATTCTACTGGTTACCTTTAGCCAGAGAAGAAAGCTTTGATTACTACTAGCAACCCTGTTACTAAATGAATCCATCACATCAAATGCCACATTACTGATGAACTAGAAAACTCCACAATTTAGGGGACAAAAATAAAAATGAAATCCTAGCAAAGACATGGAATCAACCTAAATGCCCATCAATGATAGACTGGATAAAAAAAAAATTCGGTACATATACACCACGGAACACTATACAGCTATAAAAAAGAACAAGATTATGTCCTTTGCAGGGACATGGATGGAGTTGGAAGTCACTATCCTCAGCAAACTAATGAAGCAACAGAAAACCAAATACCGCATGTTGTCACTTAGAAGTAGGAGCTGAATGATGAGAACACATGGACACATAGAGGGGAAAAACACACAGTAGAGCTGACTGGGGGTTGAGGGTCAGAGGAAGGAAAGCATCAGGAAAAATAGTTAATGGATGCTGGGCTTAATACCTAGGTGATGGGATGATCTGTGCAGCAAATCACCATGGCACACGTTTACCTATTAACAAACCTGCACATCGTGCATGTGACCCCTAAACTTAAAAGCTGAAAAAAAAAAGAAATCCAACGATGACCAATAAGATAAGTCTTTCTGAAGTGTTATTTGACCTCTCTTGTTATTCAGTTCTTTAAAAAAATTTTTTAATTGATATATAATTCAATAAAATGTATCCATTTGAGTGTACAATTCAGTGATTTTTAGTACATTCAAAAGGTTGTGCAACCATCACCACTATCTAATTCTAGAATGCTTTCATCACCCCTAAGGAAACTCCCTATCCCCAGCTCCTGGCAACTACTAATCTACCTTCATTTCCTCCTGCTTACCTCTAGTTAATAATGCCTCTAGCCTTGGGAGGTGGTGGCCGTTAGCATCACAGGCCTTGAGAGAGTTCTGTTTCTAAGATACTTTTCTTGCTCTGCCACCACCGGTAAATGCTATTGACCAAGCAAAGAAATCCCAGGGAAGTCTCAGTAGGGCAATTACTCTTTGTCATGTAAAAAGAGAGGGTATGTGTGAGACGGCTGGTGAAGGATGAACTGATGAGCACACAGATTATTGCCTTTACTGAAGTAGAGTATTGATTGTCATGGATGGCTGAAGATCACATTCTCTAGAAGGATAAAATAGCAGGGCCATTACTTTCAGAGTTAAACAAAGGCATTTGCCATCCTAAAGTCCAAGTCTGGGTCTTCCATTTATTAGCATTATACAAAATTCTTAACTTGCTGACAATTTGCATCTGACATTTTGTTTTCATTTTAATTTTTAAAAATGTTTAAATTTTTAATTTTTGTGGGTACATAGTAGCTGTAAATATTTATGGGGTACATGAGACGTTCTGATACAGGCATGCAATGTGAAATAAGCACATCATGGAGAATGAGGTATCCATCCCCTCAAGCATTTATCCTTTGTGTTACAAACAAATTACATTTGTTTAGTTATTTAAAAATGTACAATTAAGTTATCAAATGTTAGGTGTTATTCATTCTTTCTTTTTTTTTGTACCCATTAACCATCTCCACCTCCCCACCTCAAGCCCCCACTACCCTTCCAAGCCTCTGGTAACCACCCTTCTGCTAAATGGAGCAAGACAGTTTAGGAGAGAGCTGCCTGGGTGTGAGAAGGAAGAGCAGCCCTGACATCCAGGGGTTGACATGGCACTCACAGCCAAGTCTCATTCTGTTGAACATAAACAATTTCATAAACATTAACATCAGATAAGGCCACTCTGTGATCCTGATGGCTCAACACAAAGACGAGACCACTCTCTTATGTCTGAATATGGACAAAAACATGAACATTGTCCAAACCACCAAAATAACCAAACATCCCTTTGCCCTGGCTAATACGAGTGAATGCTGTTTCCTTACTAATCCCAGCTTTAGCTTTCCTTCATTTCTCTCACCCTCTAGCAAAGTTTTATTAGGACGCCAAATCATAGAATTGCCTTGGCTCCCCGACAGCATCTATTCCAGACCAAGGCCCAGCTTCCTCAAACCTTTTTCAAAATCACATAATTCAAGCCCAAATCCTACCATATGTCCTTTCAAACACTTCTAGCTGAGATGCTTCACAGTTCTCCCTCACTGCAATGAGTAGTAAACCCAACTTGTTCATTTACAGCTGCGTTCCTGGTGATATTTGACTGGAGGACATTGACAGGAGAACAGGCAGCTTCTACAAGGATGACTTCAGGGGACCTTGGAAGGGCTGTTGCCCAAAACTATTTCACCACAGGCAATGCCTGAAATTCCATCCTGAGAATGTTATTCCTTTGGGTGAACACTTATCACCTATTAAAGTAGAAAGGTTCTTAGAGAAGAAATTACCCTTTAAATATTCTTAATCCAGCCAGGTGTGGTGGCTCATGCCTATAATCACAGCACTTTGAGAGACCAAGGTGGGTAGATTGCTTGAGTCCAGGAGTTTGAGACCAGCCTGGGCAAAAATTAGCCAGGTGTGGTGGCGCGCATCTGTAGTCCCAGCTACTTGGGGGGCTAAGACGGAGGATTGCTTGAACCTGGGAGGTGGAGGCTGCAGTGTGCCACTGCAGTCCAGCCTGGGTGACAGAGTGAGACCCTGGCTCAAAAACTAATAATAAATAAAAATAAATAAATACTCTTAATCCTAGATGTCTGATTTTGAGTAACCTACTTTCATATTTCATTTATTCTTGAAATTTCCTCACATTTTAGCATCTCAGAAATTAAGACACATCCTATGATCCATGGCATCTTAAATTCTCTGAAACATGGTGATTCTTCTGAGCTTGTTTCCTCAGTTGTGAGTTTTAGTGTTGGATTAAATACTATTTCCAAAACCTCAGTTATTCGCAAATAACTCTCACCATCTTTACTATCTGTATGTTCTACAATAATGACATTCATACCGTATTTGTTCTTTACAGCAACCCCCTTTTAAAAGGTAAGTTAATGTGGCATTTTTCTCATAATCATATCCATGAAATCCTGGGCAAGATGTGCTAGCTTTCCCTAAAAATCTAGTTGTAACTTTCCCTAATATATAAAATATACTTTATGTATTAAGATAAATACATAACTATAAAAACTTACAGAATGTTTTTTCTTTTTTTTTTTTTAATTTTTTTTTTTGAGACGGAGTCTTGCTCTGTCACCCAGGCTGGAGTGCAGTGGTGCAATCTCGGCTCACTGCAAACTCCGCTTCCTGGGTTCGAGCCATTCTCCTGCCTCAGCCTCCCCAGTAGCTGGGACTAGAGGCGCCTGCCACAACGCCCGGCTAATTTTTTGTATTTTTAGAAGAGACGGGGTTTCACCATGTTAGCCAGGATGGTCTCGATCTCCTGACCTCATGATCCACCCGCCTCAGCCTCCCAAAGTGCTGGGATTACAGGTGTGAGCCACCACACCCGGCCTAAATGTTTTTTCATGTTACACCTAAAATCATCTCTCTTACCCACAGTGGGAGCCATGCCATGTTGGGATGACATGGAACTAGCTGGCCCCTAGTAATATTCTTAGCTCCTGTGTTTGGTGTTTCTGTGGTTATAAGTCAGATATACACCATCTGTGCCCCAAAATTCTAAGGGTCAAGACTGACACGGACAAATATAAGTACATACAACAATACATATTCTTTAAGCACAAAAATAAATCCTATTAACTATTTACATGGCAAAGTAAGGATAATTGTGTTGAAAGTACTGGAGCTTGAAGTTTAATTAGCTTTATGTTGGCAAAAAGCTTCAGATCTCTTGATACTTGAAAACACATATGATCTTTGCTTCAAAAAAGTTTTTTTTGGAATTTTGTTTAGGAAATAAGGAAAACAGGTTTGTTCTGATTAATCTGGGAAAGAAAAGATTTTAGAAACTACTCGAGCTCTTTCCTTTATTACAACCAGCCAGAGGTCCTCTAAGCCCTTTCTACTCAAAGTATGGTTGGTGGACATGAGCATGGCCTGGAGCTTGTTAGAAATGTAGGCTCTCGGGTCCTAATGGCAGACCTGCTGAATTGGAATCTGGCCCAACTGGCCATTTTTCCTGGCCCCAAGTGATTTGTATGAATAATAAAGTTTGAGAAGCACTGCTCTAGCCATCTAAGCCTACCTTAACCGTGGCTTATCTAAAAATAGTCCTTCCTAGACATATCCCAGGGCAGGGAAGCAAGGAGACCAGCGGATCCTGATGGATTAAAAACTTGAGATTTTCGAGTGTTTCTTCTCCACCGTCTTTGAGGAACACCACATTACACAGAAAACTTAGGAAGTGAAAGTTTATTTCATTTAGGGGAAAAAATAAACACCAATTTAAACTAAAATCAAAACCCCAAACCATAACTTGTGGTCCTTCTGAGGCACTGAGGTTAACATAAAAATAGCCCTCATTTTCCTCCTCTTCCCACCAGATCTCACCACCTCACACCCCTGCACTCACTGGCCTGAAACACACCTGTCACATGTTGTCAAACTGCAAGCTTCCAAATGAACACCTGAAGTGCAAACATCCAAATGAAGTAAAAGATGTATGGGTTAATTTATTCACATAAAAAAGGAAATGTCTACCTCTACAGGGAGAAGACATGGGTGTTTTTATGAGGAAACATTTCTCTAGAAAGCATTGCCCAGAGGGCTCTCTTATTGATCTCAGAACTCCTGTTCCTTCCTTAATTTCTTCATTTAGTCAACATTCAACACCTATTTGTTAAATAAATGAATGAGTGAAATCACTTCCCCTTATGGGCAATAGCCCAGAAATCCTCCTTTCCCTCTCAGCCCCTGTGGAATCTCTGGAATTTTGCTAAAGGCTATTTGATATCATTTTCTGCCATCCTAACAACACAATAAAATCAAAACCATTTTTTAACATTTCCAATGACTAAGCAGAAATTGGTTATTAGGATGGCCAAATGAAATTTGCCAATCAGAAAACAAACAAACAAAAAGCCAGGGGGCTGCTCCTAACCATGGAGATTCTATCCTTTTGCATGAGCCATACTCTAATATTTAGATAAAAGAGAAAATTCTTTTATTTTTAGCTTATTCATTCCTTGTTTCCAGGTTTCTATTCTGAACTCAAAACATTCTAGGCTCCAATGTTGATACCATTTCATTTCTGTGTCATATTTCTTCAGCATATTCAAAAATTTTCCCAACTAGCTTCTCAACATTTGCTGTTGGGGGTGATAAAAGGTTATTGTTAGAACATTATCTCATGTAATTATATATAATCAAGGACTTTGATGAGTCTATACAAATAAGAGTAACATCATTTATTTGAGAGGAAGCGTTCCTCAACATGTACATTTGACAAGCGCATTTCAAAGCCTAAATATTCATGTGCTTCAGTTTTCTCCAGGTACTGTGTAACAAGGAGGAAGAATAGAAAGAAGTGGGCAGTTACTGTGCCCCTACTCTGTGCCAGGCATTCTGCTGAGTGCCTGCTAAGAGTTGGGTAAAGTAGTAGATTAAAATACATTACAGATGAGCCCACTATGTGCTTGGTACTGTTTCTGGCTCTAAATATCTAAAACAGAAATTCTGATGTAGTCGTTCTTAGCCCTGGCAGTATAGTAGAATCACTTGGAATCTTAAAAAATTTATACTAATGCCTGGACCCCATTCCCAGAGATTTTGATTCAATTGGTTGAAGTGGGGCAGTGGACATCAGGGTTTTTAAAAAGTTCTCTATGTGATCAGCCTGTGGGCCAAGGTTGAGAACCACTACTTTGAAATACATGTTTTTATCATATCGTATTAAAATCATGCATATGTAAATCAGAGTGATAAGTTTATTGAGATTTCAGTGTAATAGAAAGAATATTTTTTCTTGTGTTTATTGAGAACATGGGCCAGGTCTTATATTTCCAGTACCTTTCTTCAGTGTGTGTTGAAGATCTTAATGATGACTATTGGGAGGCTTCTCAACATCATACCCATACTGCCTAGCCCATCACACGTGCTTAATACATGTCTATTAAGTAGAAAAAAATAGGCCAGCTATTATAGCTCATGTCTATCATTCCAGCACTTTAGGAGTCTGACACAGGAGAATTGCTTGAGGCCAGGAGTTTGAGACCAGCCTGGCCAACATGGTGAAACCCCATCTCTACCAAAAATACAAAAATTAACTGGGCTTGGTGGCATGCACCTGTAACCCCAGCTACTTGGGAGGCTGAGGCAGGAGAATCGCTTGAACCCGGGAGGTAGAAGTTGCAGTGAGACGAGATTGCGCCATTGCACTCCAGCCTGGTTGACAAGAGCAAAACTCCATCTCATAAATAAATAAATAAATAAATAAATAAATAAATAAATAGGCTTCAATTAATGAAGGAATAATGATGCAGTACCATAGTACCACATTATTGCCTTGAGTCAAAGAAGGCATAGAAATTAGCCTTCCTGAGTCAAAGAAGGCATAGTGAACTAGCTCCACTGTTCCTAGCTCCATGGATTACAATCAGTCATTCACTACCCATCTCCTCAGCAGCAAATGACAAGCATGAGTCCTTTGCCACAGACTGATCAGAGGCCCCTGAACCTATCTCTGCGGCAGCTGTGGAGGTCCTTGGACCCTCCCCTGCTTCATCCGGGGCTCGTCATTGCCAGGGTCAAGGTGTGATTACGCAAGGAGTGCCTTCCGTGGGAGAATCAGACATGACATTAACACCACGGGAGAAGAAAGAGTTCCATAGGCTTGGGTAGCCAGGGACTGAATTCTGTGAGAGTAACTCTCCTTTATTTTCTTAGAGTCAACCATTTCACCTTTGAAAAATTCTGCCCTCTTTGCTGCGACTGACTATGGTGGGACTGGGCTGTCAGATATTGAACAAAATTCCTATGATCAAGGCATATTACGCATGTGTGGGTGTGTTTGTAAGTCTAAGTTGTATTTAAATGTCACCTTCTATGAAAGAATTCCTTTGAACAATTTGGGAGACCAGAATCTATGTAGCATATCCTGCTGCCTTGGTACATCCTATACAAGATGTATTACATTGTGTTCTTATTATGGTAGCTTCCCACTACAATAGACCTTTTAGTACACATATTTGGATATATTGGAGACCAGCTTATTTTGTGAAGTTTATACTAATAAATAGTATAAGCTATTTTTATACTATGCTATGTTCTGGCATGGTCCACCTGTATTGGTAGATACTAGTCTCATCCTCCAATACTTGCATGATAAAGAAGTCTTCACTATTCGACATCAATCTATGTAGCTGATGTGTAAGGCTCCATGCAGATTATTCCAGGAAGATACCACCTGCTGCAGCACTAGCCATTGCAAATGTAATTAGAGTGTCCAAGAGTGTCACCTGAGTAGCTCCTGGCTCAAGTGGAAGCACCCACAATTTCTTACTTGGACATGCAAAGAGCCTTGTGTGCCCTGACGAGGCACACAAGGGCAGCAGGAAGTTCTTCGGAATTCTGGGGGCCTGAGCTGCAGGCAGATCAATTCCATAATATCATTTGGAAATTGGGACATTGGCAGGGAGAGGGTTCACTTCTGTACAATGGCATCTTTGCAGGAAGAAGATTTTACAAATTACCCTCCTCCTCACTTGGTCTCTCTCTCATGGATGCGCTTACTCACACCTTCACTTTGTGATCTTGATCAGATTTTATTTCATTTTATTTATTTATTTATTTTTTGAGATGGAGTCTCGCTCTGTCACCCAGGCTGGAGTGCAGTGGCACGATCTCGGCTCACTGCAACCTCCGTCTTCCGGATTCAAGCGATTCCCCTGCCTCAGCCTCCTGAGTAGCTGGAAATACAGGTGTTGTCACCATGCCTGGCTAATCTTTGTATTTTTAGTAGAGATGGAGTTTCACTATGTTGGCCAGGCTGGTCTCAAACTCCTGACCTCAGGTGATCCACCTGCCTCAGCCTCCCAACGTGCTAGGATTACAGGCGTGAGCCACCAAGCCTGGCCTATCACTTTAAAAAATACACCTGATTTCTAGAATGAGAAGGTAAAAAATAAACATGTATCTATATTATACGACATATAAAATACATAGATTCAAGCATCTCATTCTTTCTGTTACATTTGTTATCATAATTCGCCCCATTTCACCTGCTGCCGAATTGCCTCTTTATCAACTTATTTTCCATCCTATTTCTTTACTCCTTCCTCTTGTAATTTTGCAATAGCCTTTCTCTTATTGTTCCAGCATCTCTAAAGCTTTTAACCACTCATTTGTCAAGCCAACTCTTTCCCTGTATTGATATTTAACTGACAGGGAATAATTATTAGGCAGAAAATTAGATGAAGTGCTAACCATATTGCCTTCATTTTCCTGACGCAAAATTTTCCTGGGGTTTTGTTTATGAAAGATTGACTGCATTGTTCATAATTTGATGTATTTTTTTTCTTTCACATTCTTCAATTTCTCAGTTTCTTTACTGAAAGGAAACAGTTACAATCATGTAGGGAAGTATGTCTGAGAATTAGTGTTGGATACCAAAGGTGATATAATAGTTAGCGAGAGCTGCGTGACAATGTACTACACACTGGTTGGCTTAAACAACCAGAAATGTATTGTTTCACAGTTCTGGAGGCTACAAACCCAAGATCAAGGTGTTGGCAGGGTTGGTTCCTTGTAAGGGCTGTGTGGAAAAATCTGCTCCGTGCCTCTCCCCTGGTTTCTGGAGGATGAGTGGTCTTTTGTGTTCTTTGGCTTGAAGAAGCATCACCCTGATCTCTACCTTTATCTTCACTTGGCGTTCTCCCTGTGGGTTTGTCTGTGGACAAATGTCCTCATTTCCTAAAGCTACTAGTCATATTGTATTAGAGCCCACCCTAATGACCTCATTTTAACCTGATTACCTCTGTAAAGACCCTATCACCAAATAAGATTATATTCTGAGATACTGAGGGTTAGGACTTCGGCTTTGGGGAGACATAATTCTATCTGTAACAGGGATGCCTTTTTCTGTGCTGTATGTATATGACTGGACTGAGAAATGTTTTGCTTCCTCAACAGCTGGCTTGTTTAGACAATGGGCCATTCCTCCCAGTTTCATTCTGTCTTTTGACCACTTGACATTGGTCTCACTTGGTATCATCATTCTTCAAAGGAAATAGCTATTGCTAGAGAGAAAGCAGTGACTTGGTTTCAAAGAACCTGCCCATCATCTCTATGGGAGAACAAAAACTCACTCATACTCTCCATATCTTTGTTCCTGTTTCTCCTCATCCCTCCCCACTGCCCACTCCCCACCTCTTCTCCCAAGCTGTCACCCCCTTTGACATTTTCTTCTGACCCTTCTCAGAAGTCACTCTGGCTTAAGTCACTACCTGCTGCTTTCCAGAAAGCCAAAGAAGCAACCTATCTAGGACTCTTTCTCAAACAGCCAAGATGCCAGTCTTCCTGCTGTGAACTCTTTGTCCCTCTCAGCAGCCCCCACTGAGGAGACAATCACTGACCCACAGATGAGCAATAAGCTCATCTGTGAGTAAAGAGGTCAGTAGGATGAGCTGAAAATGCCACACCTGGGGGGTGGGAAATGAGTTCAAATGAGGCAGAAAATAAATGGAAGAGTCAACATAGCCTTCCAGAAAACTCAGAAAACTTGAAGCCTCAGGTTCATTTTTCCGACCTGCCCATGATGTTTCTTGTTGGCTCTCTCGCTACAGAGAGCACACCCTTTACCCGTCTCAGACAGAGGAATAGAGCTGCAAAGCTGAGTGCTGCTTTAGCTGGCTCCTTTGATATTTTTGGTTCATCTGCTCACAACTAAAGCAAACGAACTAGTTACAATCACTGTGTCCTTGTAATGCTCTGACATCAACAAAAATAAAAGGGAATTTTGCCTCTGGGAAACTTTTGTAAGCTGAGTTTTCCCAGAGATTGGGAAAAGCTTACTCCAAATCATTTCCCAATACATCTGGGTATTAGACTTTCCAAAGCGGTTATTTCCCAGGGGAACCGGGGACACCAAGAAGGTATCAAAGTGAGGAAGCACATTTTGTTTGAGAAGTGTCTGGCAAGGAGCATAACCCAATGGGTGTGGTGGAAAGGGCATCCGTTTTGGAGTAAAAACACCTCTTACAGCCAGGCTGGTGGTCCACACAATAGCCCCAGCCGGGAGTGGGAGGGTCTCAAGAAGCTGAAGGAGATGGATCGCTGGAGCCCAGGAGTTCAAGTCCAGCCTGGGTAATGTAGCAAGACCCAGTCTCAAAAAGAAAAAAAAAAAAAAAGGTTCTTACTAACTACATGACTTAACTGCTCTGAACCTCAATGTCTGCTTTTTAAATCTGTCAAATAGGGAAAATGATTCCTACTTCAAAAGTGACTATAAAGTCACTGAATATATGCTGAATTACAACTTTTTGACTCTACAGGTTATTTGGAGGCAAATTCTCTTGCCTTTTTCTATAGAAATATCTCACTATAGTCCTGATTCTAAGGCAAGAAAGGAATGAACAGGCAAATGAGAGACAACCAAAGCAAGACAAGGAAACTAGCTGCTTAATGTGGGAGCACCTGTCTACACCTAGAACTTCACTGCAAGGCAGTTCTTACTCAGATGCATCAGATTGGCCAAAGCAAGGCTGGGACAACATGCATGGTCTTCACTTGAGGCTATTCTTGCCCCACGCTCTCCAGTCCAGACCCAGTCACTCCTTCCAAATGTGCATTTCCGTGCACAGGAGCACATCCACCTGCATACACACCTTCAGAAATTGACAGCGAGATTTTACTATTGTTTTGGATTAGGAGTTGAGGAACAAAGAAACTTTCTTTGCTTACTACGGCTCACTCTAGTGTTTCATTTCTCACCTAATCATGTACTCTTTGTAGTATGCTATAATTATTCTGGATATTGTCTTATCTCCCCAAATGAATGCAGATCAGGAGTGAGTCTTTTATCTCTTTTATATGCACTGAAGCTCCACAATGCTGAGCAGACAGTAAATATTCAAGAAATGCTGCATGAGCTAGATTTCTACTCTGGCTCCAAAAGTTTAACTTGTATTAGAGCAACTCTCCATTGAAAACAACTAGAATGGCTAAATTTTTGTAAAAAGATCATCTGTTTGAAGTCATCAAACAGATAGAGTGACCAAGGCAGGCATAAATTAGGGGCAAGGTCCAGGAAAGAAAGGAAATACATTGAGGCAGACCCAAGTGGAGCCACTTCCCTTACCCCCCATCCCACCTAGGCATTTGATTCATAGGAGAGATGGGGCTGAGAGGCGGAGAATACAATCAGAAAGAGATGGCTAAGGGACAGAGAGACTGAATGGAATTTCCAGTAGTTTCACAGGGTTGAAGAAATAAAAGTTGGAGTCAAGTAGAAGCGGCATGGGTAAATACCTCAGGTTCTCAGTTGGGATCCCCGAAGGGCCACACCATAGGAACAAGAAAGAACCAGAAATAGCTCTGTCTCAGGAAGAGTGAAACCTAACCTCAGATCAGATCAATTCAAGGTTGGATTAAGGCAAACAGCCCTATTCTAGTTGCCCTATAGAAGCAAAAGTCAGTCAACTCTGGAGGAAGATAACATCATCTAGAACATCTATAATTTTCATGTCATTATTCAGTGGCATTTACCTTTATATATACGTCTCTCCTGCCCTTAGCTTTCAAATCTCCTTCTTGAGATGTGGAAGAGGCATAGACAATCAGAAACCCTGCCCTTTAGGTCTGTTTTCTTATCTACAGGGTGAGATCAGCTCTCTGGCTTTGAAATTCTTTGCCTCTATGTGTGGAACTACCTTCAGCCTCACCCTAACTATGCTACATCCTGTTTTAATCAATTGTCATCCACCCTGTCGGTGAGGGGGCTGAGGGGATTCCTGCCCTATGGTTATGGGGATGGCCAAAGAAAGGGACCTGGCAGTGGACATATATGTATACACTAGTCACAGGTACTCACAGCTTGGGGGAGGAGACACTGCACGCCATGCAGGGCTACACAGAATTTGCATTTGGGAACAGAGTGAACCACCAGAGGCTGTGCAGTGTCAAGACAGTGAGGTGACCCCTGGCTCCCACACAAAGATGTGATTGTCATGTTTGACATATTCCATGGGCTGGCAGGGAACTGAGACCTGGTGCTCAGGACCAGCAGGAACTGTGTCTGGGGCCTTTGATAAGGCTGGGAGTTTGGTTGGCGGACCTTATCCATGGGAGTTGAATGAGGATGGGAAGTTGGAATTAGGCCACTTGCAGCTCTCCCAATTTTACCAGCTGTCAAGGCAGCACGTAACAGTGGAGGCTTCATTTTAGGTATTATGCCACACCCCGCAATGGAGAAGGCCTTACATCTACATCCAGTGACCAACACCTCCTCCCCATGAATGTTTTGACTTTTCATTTATCCTCACAGCTCACAATCCCTTCTTACAGTCCTTTGGTTCTCACCAAAATTTGTATCTTTTTCACCTCACATCTGTTGCAATAACATCATGCAATGGGTCTCCCTGCCTCCATTTCTCCCCTGGCTGAATCTACTGTCATCACAGCTGACATATTAATCTTCACAAAATACCATTTGAAGCACATTGCTTCCCAATGGCTCCTCGCAGCCCTTTGATTGCTCCCTATGTGTGCTTTGGCTTCCGTAAGATCCAGGAACACGCACCAGCAACCAGCACAATCAAGAACTGATAGAGCCAACCATAATCCTCCGAGCTTCAAGAGCCAGTTATCTGATTTCATAATAAAAAATTAGATACCCGCCTCCATGTTGCTACTTTCTAAACATGACCAGATAATAAAAATTAAAAAGTAAAATCAGCTTCAATTTTCTTTCTTATCTTTCTCTCCTTTCTTCTATCTCTCCATCTCCATCTCTCTGTCTCTCTCTCTCTCTCTCCCTCCCTCCCTCTCTCTCTGTCTTTCTCTCTCAGTCTCTTTCTTTCAGACAGGGTTTTGCTCTGACACCCAGGCTGAAGTGCAGTGGTGCAATCACAGCTCACTGCAGCCTCAAACTCCTGGGCTCAAGCAGTCCTCCTGCCTCAGCCTCCCAAAGTGCTGGGATTACAGGCATAAGCCACTGTGGCAGGCTAGCACTAATTTTCTTTTTGACATTTTTTTCAATAAAATAGGTAATCTTGGGTGTAAGAAAATGCTTCTTATCAGAGTCAAAAAGAGCTATTTTCATTGTGAATGATTAAAAAGAGATGTGGCTATAACTATTTTTATTGTTCCTGAATTGGTCCTTTCCAAGGAAAGATGAGGGAAGATAGCCAGTCATAAAGGCTTTCATGTTCCCTGCAAATTCCCACGATGCATGGCCTATCACAGAGACCACATAGAATCCCCGTCACATAATTCCACACTCATTCATCTGGCAGGCTTTTTTCTTTTTAATAGATTTTTTCTTCTCTTTTTTTTTTTTTTTTTTGCCAGAATAGTTTTAGGTTACAAGCAAAATTAAGAGGAAAGTACAGAAAATTCCCATTTACCCCCTTTCCCTTTCCCTACATGTACAACCTCCCCCACTATCAACACCCCACACCAGATTACACCAGACTGGTACTTTTGTTACAATTAATAAACCTGCCCGAACACATCATTATTAGCCAAAGTCTATAGTTTACATCAGGGTTCACTCTTGGTGTTGTACTTTCCATGGTTTTTGATAAATGTATAATGACATATATCCGTAATTGTAGTATCATACAGAATATTTTCACTGCCCTAAAAATCCTCATGTTCTGTGCATCTCGCTCTGCCCCCAACCTTTGGCAACCACTGCTCTGTTTACTGTCCCCATACTTTTAGCTTCTATGGAACGTCAAACAGTTGGAATCATACAGTATGTAGACTTTTCAGATTGGCTTCTTTCACTTAGTAATATGCATTTAAGGTTCCTCCATGTCTTTTCATGGCTTGATAGCTCATTTCTTTTTAGCACTGAATAATATTTCTTCATCTGGATCAACCCCAGTTTATTTATCTGTTCACCTATTGAAGGACACCTGGGTTGCTTCCAAGGTTGAGCAATATTGAATAAATCTGCACTGCGTGAATTTTCGCATCATAAACAAACCTACCTGGGCTGGCCAAGCCAAATGAGACTGTGATGGTAATCCCAACCAACAGCATCATTATGAAGTACTGCTGTGTAGGGGCTGTACTTGGGTAAGAGACCTGATACCTACAGCCAGACATGGGCTGCAGTAGAAAAAGCAGTAGGAATGCAAGAGGCTTACTGAAAAAAAAAAAAAAAAATCAGGCCTGGGCAGTTTTACAGGGATCCCACATTTTCCAGATGGAGACTCTTCTGTTAGCCTCCAAAGCATTCACTGAGCATATTCAAAGTTCAGGGGGATAATGAGGTGACTAAGACAGCTGCCTGCCCTCAGGAAGGCTTGAAAGGAGTGCAGAGATCATCACAGGTTGAGCATCCCTAATCACCAAATCCAAAACATTCCAAAACCCAAAATATTTTGAGTGCTGACATGACACCACAGGTGGATAACTCCATACCTGATCTCATATGACAGGTCGCAGTCAAAATGCAGGCGCACAACATGGATTTTATTCAGCATCTCCAAGGGAAAACTGAAATTACCCCCAGGCTATGTGTATAAAGGTGTATAAGAAACATAAATAAATTTCCTATTTAGACTTGGATCTCATCCCCAAGATATCTCATTATGTATATGAAATATTCTAAAATCCAAAAATATTCAAAATCTGAAACACTTCTGGCCCCAAGCATTTCAAATAAGGAATACCCTATCTGTACTACCAGTAACAATGAACATTTATTGAGCAAGGACTGAGTGCCAAGCTCTGTGCTAGGCATTTCATTTAATCCACACAGTAACCAGCAAGGGCATTTTACAGAGCAGGGAACTGACGCTTAAGTAGGGTAAAGGAAAGCCCTCCCCAGCTGAGCTGCAGAAACTTAAAGTGTGTTTAGGGCACCCTGGAGCTGCCCCTGTCAATTTGGTGGTGTTCACAGGAAGGGCTTCACTTTGGAGCCCAAGGTCCAACATTTTGGTTTCCATTACTTTCCTTCCAAGCCAAGGGCAGGATCAAAGATGCAAAGGAAAAATTCCTCCTTAGGTTCCAGAAAAAAAAAATCACAAAAAGTACAACAGGCTTCTTACCCTAGCAAGGAACCTGGATGCCTTCCTAACAAAGTGTTTGGTCTCCCTAAATTACAGCAAGATGAAGACAGGCCACCTGTGAGAGTACCCACCTCAGAGGGGTGGGGAGGAGGGAAGGACTTCAGAACCTTTGGGACAGTGGACTCTGCAGTATTCTGGCTGACTCCTGACCCAAGATCTTTCTGTGACAAGCCATTCAAGAGATAAGCTGAGGAAAAAATAAGGGTAGGCAGCGGAGGTCAGAAAAAGAAAAACAAAAAAACAAAACAAAACAAAAACTAGGCCAGGAGCGGTGGCTCACACCTGTAAACCCAGCACTTTGGAAGGCCAAGATGGGCGGATCACTTGCGGTCAGGAGTTCAAGACCAGTCTGGCCAACATAGGAACCCTGTCTCTACTAAAAATACAAAAATTAGCTGGGCATGGTGGTGCGTGCCTGTAATCCCAGCTACTCGGGAGGCTGAGGCAGGAGAATCACTTCAATCCGGGAAGCAGAAGTTGCAGTGAGCTGAAATTGCACCACTGCACTCCAGCCTGGGCAACAAAGAAAGACTCTGCCACAAAAAAACAAAACAAACAAACAAAAAACAAGGCAAAACAAAACAAAAACTAGAGGAAGCAAGAAGAAATGAATAAAAATAAAAAAAATGAACTGAAAACAGTACAATTAAATAAATCCAAAAGCTGATTATTTATAAGTAATACAATAGATAATCTGTGCTCCCACTCACTAGACCTGCCACTGCAGAATGACCAAAGTCCTGGCAACAGAAACCAACAGTGAGTCCCCTATAAAGCACCATCCCTCATGAAGACCAACCAACCAACTGCTGGCAAGCTGAAAACATTGGACTCCTCCCACCCCATGAGGGTCACTGATTCCTCTTGACTGGAAAGAATACATGTGACATGCCTTGATTCATCTTTCCTGCCTCAGCCAGCACCACTATCCAAGGGCTTCCAGAATGTTCCATCCACTAACATAGACTCCTGCAAACTATCACAAGGATCAAGGGACTTACTCTCTAGCTAGGGAGGTATGCTAAGCGACACCAGGGGTGGATGGCAGCGGACACAAGAATCCCGCTCCAGGACCGAGGCACTCGTTCCTCCAGTTGATACGTACAGGAGTGGTGCTTGCTGATGGCTTTGTTCTCGGTCGAGGCTTCCCCACAAATTGTCCTTGGCTGAAGGGAGCTACCTCAGCCAAGGCTATGCCCGTTGCTAGGTAAGCCAGGGTCTAGTCGAAGTGGAGGCCCAAAGGCCTGTACCCTTTGCTTCAATTTGAGACACATCTGAGGGCCACCCCAGCTTCAGAACTGAGGCCTCGCTGTGACTGCATTGCGGTTCGAGTTCTCCTTTCATCCACCCTGCTTCCGTCACTCCCTTACAGTGTTGTTCCTGAGCGTACTCCCCAACAACCCCCCTGCACTCAAGCCTCCATCTCAGAGTCTGTTTCCCAGGAAACCCAAACTACAATAGCGCTGATTAGACATTTGAGAAGCTGACTCCACTTGCTTCTTTGTGGATACCAACCACTGCATCCCCAAGAGGCAAAAGTGACACTGAGGGTGAAGAGTGCAGTAAGGTGGCAGAGAAATTCCAGGAATCCCCCCACCCCTTGCATGTGTGGCTGATGGGTGGCTCTTTTGGACAACTGCAGCAGCAGAAGAGAAGCCAGGAGTTCTACAGACTCAGCCATTTTCCTTTTCCCTCAAGGCTTCTCTCAGAGCTGGACTCCAGAGAACCCTGCTTCTCATTGCTCTTTTGCGGCAGTTTTCAGTCTGCCTGTAATGGCATTGAGACACCTCCTGTTAACCAGTGATGGAGCTAAGGACAGCCAGGCATGAAAATAAAAGTGTTCCATCCAGCCTGCTTGTCAATGTCTCCTCAAAGAGAAGTAAGGGATATTTTCTAGGCAGGACACGGCTTTTTAAATATATTTTTTGTAGCCTACCGGAAAAGGTAGTTGTATCTGAAAGGAAGCATTACCAACCCCAAAACCATTTCTTTGCATTTCTGTTGATATAGTTAGGTTTTGTGTTCCCACCCAAAATCTCATTTTGAATTGTAATCCCCCAAATCCCTGTAATCCCCACGTGTCAAAAGAGAGACTAGGTGGAGGTAACTGACTCATGGGGGCAGTTTCCCCCATGCTGTTCTTGTGATAGTGAGTTCTCACAAGATCTGATGGTTTTATGAAGGGCTTTTCCCCACCTTCACTCAGCACTTCTTCCTGCTGCCTTGTGAAGAAGGAAGAAGGTCCTCGCTTTCCCTTCATCTTCTGCCATGATTGTAAGTTTCCTGAGGCCTCCCCAGCCATGCTGAACTGTGAGGCAATTAAACCTTTTCTTTATATAATAAATTACCCAGTCTTGGGCAGTTTTTTGGTTTTTTTTTTTTGAGATGGAGTCTCGTTCTGTCACCAGGCTGGAGTACAGTGGTGCGATCTCGGCTCACTGCAACTTCCGCCTCCTGAGTTCAAGCGGTTCTCTTGCCTAAGCCTTCTGAGTAGCTGGGACTATAGTTGTGCGCCATCACACCCAGGTAATTTTTGTATTTTTAGTAGAGACAGGGTTTCACCATGTTGGCCGGGATGGTCTTGATCTCTTGATCTCGTGATCTGCCTGCCTTGGCCTCCCAAAGTGCTGGGATTACAGGTGTGAGCCACAGATCCCCACTAGGCAGTTCTTTATAGCAGTGTCAGAATGGACTAATACATCAATGTTCACCTTTTTAAATGTGTGCTAACCAAAATCCATGAGTCAGTCACCAAAAAGACATTGAGAGCAGACCAGAAACAAAGCCAAAGAGGCAATGAATGAATCAGATGGTGTCCCCTTGTGGTCCCGGTCCCAGCACAAAGCCAGAATGTGGCTGTGTACATTCTAGCCAGATTCTCCAGTCTCAAATGTATTAAGTCTCCATGTTTGAATGTCAGAATTGGAGAAGGACCCAAAGCGTAAGAAGAATGAACAAGAAAAGGTAGATGAAGGATTGCAGCTGCTTCTTCCCCACCATCGTACCATCCTACAAAGGGAGGTGGGGAGAAAGGCCGCATCTCACAGTGGGTTCAGAGATGTGGGGTTGCATGCTGCATCCTCTGCCTCCTCCCTGCACCCAGTGCCTTCTCTGGTGCCCACTCCCTATGAAAAGGATGCGATGACAGGAGGCTGCCATTGATTCGGCATTGATTCGGGTTATGATCTCTCCTCTCCCGTCCCTCCACCCTCAGCCTGGCCTCACCTGGGCAGAACGTGGGGCATCGTGACAGCCAAGTGGGCATTGCAGGAGTGGCTACTTCAGCTGTTCCCTGGCTATGGGGCACACAGGGCCAGGACTGACCTGGAGGATGGAAGTTGCTGTGTCACCTGAGGATCTTCAGGTCACTAAAGGGACAGTTTGCCACAAGACGCATCAACGCAGTGGCCTGTTAGCCACATGGTTGATGTCCTAATGACCAGGCTCTCCTTTTCTCTTTCCTGACCATTTACCTGGGCAGAGCCATCCAGCCCACTTTCCTCCAGCAGATGCCTTCACGCCTCAAGACTGGAACTCAGTTACAGGAACAGGCACACGCAGAGCACAGCCCTACCCTGTTCCACCCTCCCCTCCACTCCCTCTGGGGGGGTCACCAGCCCCTACTCATTTTTCTCCCTGACATTATTCTATGACTCCTTTTCCAAGAGCTGGTGTGGGGGTTTTTAGAAGGCCCAGGAGCCTCCTTTGATCAAGCTAGCTCCATGGAAGCGCCACATTGCACCTATGGGCACCAGCCGAGCCAGGATGTGGTGACGCTGAGTAACCCCACGGCACGCTGTGGAGTGGTGCAGGGCGGCATGCGGCCAAGGTGATGCGCTCGCACACACCCATGCTGCTGTCTCCCACACACTCCCAGGTCTGGGCAGCACTGGCCTCACAGGAAACATTTTCTACTACAGTGCAGAGAGCTCTTATTTCATTTTCATTTATAAACTGTTTAATCAATGAGGACAGACTGTGGTCAGGCAAACATGCCTGCTCTCAGGCTTGGAAGCCTTCTGGTTTAACAGGAGGGCAATGATGACTGTGGTCTGCCGCGGGCTCAGATATTTTTCTTGAACGTTTTGCTGCACTTTTACCTCAATTGCTAGGTCCTTCCATCAGAAGCCTTGCACCATCTGCAGGCTCAGCCATCTGCTTCAGCCCTGTGGCTTCGGCCAGCTGACCTACAGAAGAGATGAAACAAGACCACTGTGGTGGTAGCATGAGCTGGTGACTATGGCTCTGCGACTAGGCTGCTTCTAGAAAAATATCTTCACCCAGACAAATTTCTGTGTACTAAGCTCTTAGGGTAGAAAGATGGCCCAAAAGGCATAGTTCTAAAGTCCTACCATGGAGTTGTGGCACATGCAATAATAAAAGCATGGACAGAAACAGCATATAGGAATAAATGCTATTGGTTTATTTTCTCTATTCTTAAATTATTTTTTTTGAAGGAGAGGTGGTCAAGAAGCCCCATGGAGCAGACACCTTTGTGGGATGTTGAGACACAGCTTACAAAACTGTTGCAGGACTCAGTGGGAATATGGCAGTGCAGGTGCCACAGTCAGACATCAAGGTCAAATTTGGCCTATGCTCCTTTCTAGCTGTGGGGCCCTGAGCAAGTGACTTAACCTCTCTGGGTCATGGTTTCCTCATCTATAAAAGTGGAGGAAACACAAGTTCCTGTCTGGCAAGCTTCTTGTGAGGATTGAATGAGTTAACACGTGTGAAGCTGTTAGCACAGTTTCTGGTATATATTAAGTGCTGACTTAGCTAGTAGACAACTTCAGAACATCTGCTTTTACCCTTCCTGTGATGGGAATCTTTTCATTTTGCCCAACAGGGATAAAAGTGGAAGAAAAAGCAAAACCCAAGAGATGGGGAATGGGGAGAAGAGAAAAGATGGGGCTGGAATTGTGAAGAGAAGGGGAGAAATGGGTGGCAAATCCCTGGGCAGATGGGAGTCTCCCAGGCACCTCCATGCCTCCATATGCCAAGTCGGAGTCTCCTTGCAGAAGAACTGAGTTACACAGTCCAAAAAGACGCATTGCCCAGGGGCTCACGGGAACCAAAATGGCAGTATCTTGATTTCTGAGAAAGGCCATAACTTTAGAGGATAAACACTCCAAAGTTTCACATGTCAGCCCAGGAAGTGAATGCAGTGTTAACAGCAGGGGGGAGACATGGATGGCACTGAAGGAAGTCAGTCATGTACATAATATCGGGTGTTATAGGTGCTATCTGTGTTGTTATGTTATATAGAATTTTTTTTTTTTTTTTTTTTTGACAGAGTCTTGCTCTGTTGCCCAAGATGGAGTACAGTGGTGCGATCTCAGCTCATTGCAATCTCTGCCTTCTGGATTCTAGTGATTTTTGTGCCTCAGCCTCCCAAATAGCTGGGATTATAGGTGCCCACCACCACATCCGGCTAATTTTTTGTATTTTTAGTAGAGACGGGGTTTCCCCATGTTGGCCAGGCTGGTCTCAAACTCCCGACCTCAGATGATCCACCTGCCTCGGCCTTCCAAAGTGTTGGGATTACAGGCGTGAGCCACCACGCCCAGCCTGATTATATTTCTTAATGTAAATATGAAGATAATTTACCCAGTACTTCATATATTCTCAGGAACGTTAGGGTAAAGGGTGGGAACACATGTCATTCGACTATATTCCTGCCACCGATAATCTGGCATGCCTTGATGTGAGTGCCGCTGAGTGATGGAGAAGAGGTTCCAAGCAGACAAGCAGGGAGGGAACAGATATAACATTCAGGGGGGAGAATGTGTCTAGCAGTCCAAATACAAGGCACAGCGTGATGAGTCCAGAACACACAGGCACCAGAGTATGACCTGAGCCTAAAGTGCAAGGAGAGGGAGATAAGGCTGGAGAGGGAGGGTTCCATCAGCACACCAGGTGTCTTGTCTGGGCACTTTAACTTGATTTTTCTGAGCTGTAAGAAATCACCAGAGGGTGTTGAGCAGGGGAATACCACTTAGAAACACAGTGTAGAATGGTTTTGAAGGGACTATGCTTAGACAGTGGGAAAAATGTTAGGGACCTACTGCAGTGGCTCAAGCAGGACAGATGAAACCTGAGCTAAAGCAGAAGGAATCCAGGAATCCAAGTATGGAAGCAAAATCAGTGGAGCCTGAAGAACTTATTGATAGGAGGAGGGACTACTCCCTGGTTTCTGGTTTGGGTAATTGGAGTGGATCATGGTGATTCAGGAGACACGGGGTGTGCAAGTGGAAGGATAACTTTCTCGTTGGATGCAGGATGAAGATGAAGGACTGTGTGTAGTGGAGTGTGTGTACATATGAGTGGAAGGAGTGAAGTTAGTGAAAGGCTCCTTGCAAAGCTAAATGGAAAAGAAGTTTAGTTTTTCTGCTATTTTATATTATTTTTGCCACCTCTTCTCTTCTTTAGAGTGAGAATAAAGATACTCCAAAGCAGAACAAACAACTAACATTTACTAAGTGCTTCGTTTGTGACTTCTTTGGATGGGTAAAGACTTTACCTATATTACTGCATTTGACCCTCAAAATGGTAGTGAAATGAATATTGTGTCTGGTTTATAGATGCACAAATTGAGATTCAAAAGGGCTAAGTAATGTGCTAAAAGTCTCACAACTAATAAACGGCAGAGCTGATATTACTTTATCAGAAAAAGAGAATTTCAGGAAACAAAAAAGAATTTTACATTGTTCCTATTTCTGGTTGGGAGAAAACAGGTTGTTACATGTGGATGAACAAATGCACATTGGCAGTTTTATTAACACCTTAATTTATTATATTTTTATGCTTTCCTTAGATTTCTCTCAAAATATCTAGGTAAGGCAGCCAGGGCAGATGCTAGTATCTCTATCAGTCAATCAACAAACATTTGTCCGGCATCACACTGAGCAAGTCACTGTTCATGTGAAGTTTTTCTTATGGTCCTGCTTACAAGAATTTTACTGTCTAATAAAGAGTTATTATATGGGCTACATAGCAACATGGGATGCATATGCCTAGTGCTAAATGAAGGCTGTAAACTATTTTCAAAACTGCATTCCCTGGAAACCCCAGATCCTAGTTCCTACAGAGTAACGGTTCTCAAAGGGTGGGATGATTTTGCCCCCTAGGGGACATTTGGTGATGTCTGGGGACATTTTTCATTCTCACAACCTTGGAGGGTGTGCACCGCTGGCATCTATTAGGCACAGGGCAGGGACGCTGCTGAGCATCCTGCAATGCATAGGACAGAACCCACAACAAAAAATTATCCAGCCCAAAATGGCAACAGTCTTTTTGAGAGGTTGAGAAAGCTGCTCTAGGGTAATATAATTACTTGATTTTATTTTTAAAACTACCCTTTATTTAAAAATAGTAATAAAACAACAGATAAGCTAAAATGATTACATACTTTGTTTATTATTATACTTTAAGTTCTAGGGTACATGTGCACAACGTGCAGGTTTGTTACATATGTATACATGTGCCATGTTGGTGTGCTGCACCCATTAACTCATCATTTACATTACGTATATCTCCTAATGCTGTCCCTCTCCCCTCCCCCCACCCCACAACAGGCCCTGGTGTGTGATGCTACCCACCCTGTGTCCAAGTATTCTCATTGTTCAATTCCCACCTATGAGTGAGAACATGCGGTGTTTGATTTTCTGTCCTTGCGATAGTTTGCTCAGAATGATGGTTTCCAGCTTCATCCATGTCTCTACAAAGGATATGAACTCATCCTTATTTTATGGCTGCATAGTATTCCATGGTGTATATGTGTCACATTTTCCTAATCCAGTCTATCGTTGATGGACATTTGGGTTGATTCCAAGTCTTTCCTATTGTGAACAGTGCCGCAATAAACATACTTGTGCATGTGTCTTTATAGCAGCATGATTTATAATCCTTTGGGTATATACCCAGTAATGAGATGGCTGGATCAAATGGTATTTCTAGTTCTAGATCCTTGAGGAATCGCCACACTGTCTTTCACAATGGTTGAACTACTTTACAATCTCACCAACAGTGTAAAAGTGTTCCTATTTCTCCAGATCCTCTCCAGCACCTGTTGTTTCCTGACTTTTTAATGATTGCCATTCTAACTGGTGTGAGGTGTTATCTCATTGTGGTTTTGATTTGCATTTCTCTGATGCCCAGTGATGATGAACATTTTTTCATGTGTCTGTTGGCTGCATAAATGTCTTCTTTTGAGAAGCGTCTGTTCATATCCTTTGCCCACGTTTTGATGGGGTTGATTTTTTCTTGTAAATTTAAGTTCTTTGTAGATTCTGGATATTAGCCCTTTGTCAGATGGAAAGATTGTAAAAATTTTCTCCCATTCTGTAGGTTGCCCGTTTTTTTTTTTGTTTTGTTTTGTTTTGTTTTGGAGACAGAGTTTTGCTCTTGTTGCCCAAGCTGGAGTGCAATGGCACAATCTTGGCTCACTGCAACCTCCGCCTCCTGGGTTCAAGTGATTCTCCTGCCTCAGCCTCCCGAGTAGCTGGGATTACAGGCATGCACCACCATGCCCAGCTAATTTTTTGTGTTCTTAGTAGAAACGGGTTTCACCATGTTAGCCATGGCTGGTCTCGAACTCCTGACCTCAAGTGATCCACCCTCCTCGGCCTCCCAAAGTGCTGGGATTACAGCGTGAGCCACCGTGCCCAGCCGGCTGCCTGTTCACTCTGATGGTAGTTTCTTTTGCTGTGCAGAAGCTCTTTAGTTTAATTAGATCCCATTTGTCAATTTTGGCTTTTTTTGCCATTGCTTTTGGTGTTTTAGTCATGAAGTCCTTGCCCGTGCCTATGGCCTGAATGGTATTGCCTAGGTTTTCTTCTAGGGTTTTTATGGTTTTAGGTCTAACATTTAAGTCTCTAATCCATCTTGAATTAATTTTTGTATAAGGTGTAAGGAAGGGATTCAGTTTCTGCTTTCCACATACAGCTAGCCAGTTTCCCAGCACCATTTATTAAATAGGGAATCCTTTCCCCATTGCTTTTGTCAGGTTTGTCAAAGATCAGATGGTTGTAGATGTGTGGTATTACTTCTGAGGGCTCTGTTCTGTTCCATTGGTCTATATCTCTGTTTTGGTACCAGTACCATGCTGTTTTGGTTACTGTAGACTTGCAGTATAGTTTGAAGTCAGGTAGTGTGATGCCTCCAGCTTTGTTCTTTTGGCTTAGGATTGTCTTGGCAATGTGGGCTCTTTTTTGGTTCCATATGAACTTTCAAGTAGTTTTTTCCAATTCTGTGAAGAAAGTCGTAGCTTGATGGGGATGGCATTAAATCTATAAATTACCTTGGGCAGTATGGCCATTTTCATGATATTGATTCTTCCTATCCATGAGCATGGAATGTTCTTCCATTTGTTTGTGTCCTCTTTTATTTCGTTGAGCAGTGGTTTGTAGTTCTCCTTGAAGAGGTCCTTCACATCCCTTGTAAGTTGGATTCCTAGGTATTTTATTCTCTTTGAAGCAATTGTGAATGGGAGTTCCCTCATGATTTGGCTCTCTGTTTGTCTGTTATTGGTGTATAAGAATGCTTGTGATTTTAGCACATGGATTTTGTATCCTGAGACTTTGCTGAATTTGCTTATCAGCTTAAGGAGATTTTGGGCTGAGACAATGGGGTTTTCTAGATATACAATCATGTCATCTGCAAACAGGGACAATTTGACTTCCTCTTTTCCTAATTGAATACCCTTTATTTCTTTCTCCTGCCTGATTGCCCTGGCCAGAACTTCCAACACTATGTTGAATAGGAGTGGTGAGAGAGGGCATCCCTGTCTTGTGCCAGTTTTCAAAGGGAATGCTTCCAGTTTTTGCCCATTCAGTATGATATTGGCTGTAGGTTTGTCATAAATAGCTCTTATTATTTTAAGATACATCCCATCAATACCTAGTTTATTGAGAGTTTTTAGCATGAAGGGCTGCTGAATTTTGTCGAAGGCCTTTTCTGCATCTATTGAGGTAATCATGTGGTTTTTATCTTTGATTCTATTTATATGATGGATTATGTTTATTGATTTGCGTAGATTACATACTAAATTTTAACACATTGTACTCACCAAAGGATTAAATGCTGCTGTCAGATTAAATGGTTTTGTGGAGAACTTGGACTAAATCTTGCTGGCACAGCAATTGTAAAGGAGAACAGTTTCTAACAAGATTACCTACTCTGAAGAATCTCCTCAAATTTCTAGATGAGCTGTTATTAAAAAATATATGTATTTCCAACTATTTGTGCATACCAGGTTTAAGAGATAAAATGCAGAAATAAATTTGGAAGCTGAAGCTGATAAAAGACTACTGTCATCTATAGCACTCAATTTCATATTTTTGTATCTATTGAACAGTCTAATTGATTTTACAAATAAATGTTAAGCTTAAACTTATAAATTTGAATGAAATACTGATTTTCATTTGGGGGAAATGAAAAGGCCTGTGCTACAAACAAATAGGCCTGGGCACTGGGACGGGAAGATCCATGACCCGCCCCTTTAAGTGTTCATGCAAACCAGCAGCAAAGGCAGCATGGAGGGCTTGGCAAAAATGCAGAATCCCAGGCCCCTGCCCAGACTTTCTGAATCAGGATCTGCCTTTCAGTAAGATTCCCCCACACATGAGAGTTTGAGAAGTGCCTGTCCATAGGACTTCACAGAAGAGAAATCAAGTAGGGCTGGTATAAACGGTGAGGACTTCTGGCACTGTGGGATTTCTGCAGGGCATGATTCAAATTCAACAGACAAGGACATATGGAGTGGACATTCCAGGTGAGGAAAGGGGCAATACGAGGAGGCTGGGAATAGACCACCCATGCCAGACAGAGGTTCTAGTAGCAGGACACTTAGGAACAGCTTGAGGAAGTGGGGGAAGAGGCAACTTGCGGCTGAGGCTGGCAGCCAGCCAGGTCCCCACTTCGGGCTGCCCCTTACCTTGTGGATGGAGCAGCGTCCGCCGGAATTCCAGGCCAGGATCGCCAACCGCTTAGCCACCATGAACCAATTAAACCTCCAGCAGCCCCAGGAAGTCGGAGCTCATTATCTCCAATGTCTACATGGGGAGCCGACCACTTCCGAAGCTGTAATTACCGGAGGTCAGAGGGCACCTGAGGCAGGAAGTCTGGTCTGTCCCAGCACATTCTTGGCGCTCCCAGGTTTTCCCTCTGAGGAACACAGAGGAGGAGATGCCCTCCGCCGTTGGAAGTCCTTCCACAGTTTAAGGGGCTTCAAGGAGCCCTAGCTGGGGGAAAAAGAACCTTCGACCATCTTTACTCAAGCCAGGCGCTGTGAAAAGAACCTCCCATACAGTAGCCTCGTGCCTGGGAGGGAGCAGGCTACGGGGCGGGTTTGCTGGAGAGATGCCGGCCTGGGGCAGCCTTAGGGAGGAAGGAATTGGAGGCAGCTGTAGAGGGGTTCTGCAGGAAGAGGGCTCCAGCGGGGCTATTCCAGAGAGAGAGGTTGGAACTATTAATATAATAGCTATCCAATCAGGCTGTGAGGGAACTACAATTGAGTCAAGAAATTATCTTGTTTCCTTAGGAACACAAACAGGCCTACGAAGGCTTACCTGTCTCCTGAATTCTCACAGATGCCCTGGGAAAAAGGCTTTGCAGCTTGGCTGGTGGCCTGAAGCACGAGCTCTGAGACCTCTTGACCAGCCCTGATTTTGCTAGGAGCCTGTCCTGGGGCCCGCTTTCTCTTGACCTCCTGAGAGGTCTGGTGAGGTTTCTAAGTCAAGGCAACGGACTAGATTCCAGTAGAAGGACAAGTGTCCAAGGCATGAAGGGGAACGTCAGGGCCAGTTGCTCAGTCCCTTCAGGGCCACCCACAGCCGCCCTGGTCCTAGAGGCTGGGCTGCCTCTCCCCTGCCCAGCATTGCTCAGAGCATATGTTAACATCCAGCTGGGGCCCTTATCTCAGCCTGGAGACAGATTCATCAACTCCTGGAGGCCAAGGGCCAGCTTGAAGCCCTGCCTCCCCGAGATGCTGCCCCTTCGATTCCTGCTTAATCACTCCCAGCTGTTCAGGATCCTGAGTTAGCACAGATTTTCTGGGAAGAAAAGGCTCTGAAACTTGCACCATGTATTAGGTGGCTGGGGACAGTTTTGGGAACACAGCCAGTGCTGTTGGTGCCAGTCAGGGCTGCACTACAGTCCTGGGCATCTCCACAAAGAGTGGAAGAAAAAGGCTGAGGCTGCCTGTGGAGAGACCTGAAAAGTCACTCCCATCCCTTGGCCGGTCTCAAGCAAGAGATCTGCCCCTGAGTTTAAGGAATGATCTTTGGGATAGGTCTCAGTACACAGAGTCTAGGACTTCACCAGAACAGAAGAACATAGGTGTTTTGTTTCTCCTCCAAACTCCTGAGACTTATTCTTCTGGTATACGAAGAAATAGTTCCTTACAGCTGCAAAAACCCAGGGAGAGGATAACGTTAAGCTAAGAACATCTTAATATAGGATGCACATTTGGAAGCTTCTGCAAGGTACAAGCTAGCAAGGCAGGGACAGAGGAGGTAGTGATGGTGGGTAGAGGTGTGGTGATAAATGGGGAGGCCCCAAGTTCATCGTGATACACTCAGTTAAGGGATGCCACAGGTAGGGTGCTCTTCAGTCAGAAGGCAGTGAGATGCACCAGAATCCCTGGAGAAGCACTTCAGGGGGAGGAGGGCAGGCTCGAGAAAGGAAGAAAAGGAAGCTCAAAGCTGATGGGTTAGACCAGCCCAAGCCCAGGTATCTGCTCCTGGCTATTTTGGAGAGGAAGCCAACCCTGATGGGCTGGACTGGATTTCAAGCTGCTCGGCCAGGCATCCAACAGGGCCTATGGAAAGACTGACAGCTTGACCTCTCCAGGGATCAGGGGTATGGTGGGGCCCAGGTGACTTCAAACCTGAAGCCCCAGACAAGCATAGTATAGCCATGTAATAGAATACTATGTAGTCATTAAAAATCATGCTATTCTTTAAGAATATTTATATGGGGAAATTATTATATATTTGTTTCTTTTTTTTTTTGAGATGGGGTCTCAATCTGTCACCCAAGTTGGAGTGCAGTGGCACGATCTTGGCTAACTGCAACCTCCACCTTCCAGGCTCAAGTGATCCTCCCACTTCAGCCTCCTGAGTAGCTAGGACCACAGGTATGCACCAGCATGCCCAGCTAATTTTTGGTATTTTTGCTGGAAATGGGGTTTTGCCATGTTGCCCAGGCTGGTCTTGGACTCCTGGGCTCAAGCAATCCACCTGCCTCAGCCTCCCAAAGTGCTGGGATTACAGGCATGAGTCACCGCACCCAGCCTTCATTATATATTTGTAACTGAAAAAAAAAAAAGCTAGCATTACCAACACTAGAAACAGCAGGTACAGATACGGAGTCCAGTTATTTTGCTGAATACATCCACTTCCACCGCTGGCCTGGGAAGGTACTAGTTATCAGCACTGGTTATCTCTGTGTAGCAGCATTGTGGGTAACATTTGTTTTCTTCATGTTTTTCTCTGTGTTCCAAACTTTCTGTAATCAACATGCTTTGCTTTTGTAAACAGAGGACAATAATTGTTTATTTAAATGGTAGCATTAGCTCTATTTAAACTGGTACTTCCATTTAAAGGCCAAAGAGTCAGGGAGCTGTCGGTAAATGAGAAGGGGTTGGGTGGGCTCTGTTACTGGCCTGCCAGCATCCATTCCCCCTTCTTCCTTCCTTCAATTCTCTCCTTTGCTGTGCTCTGCAACTTCCATGCACCCCTCCAGACCCACTCTCCACTTCCCTCTTTCCCACTTTATGTCCTGGAGGGAGGCTGACCTTTATGGACAACATCAAAAGCCTTGGCTGGGTTTGGCTAGTAGGGAACACCAGCAGGAGATCAAAGGGAGTTGGGAACGTGATGCTGGGTGTTGATTCCTCGGGCTTCCTCCCAGCAGGCCAGCTGCGACCCTCTTCAAAAGGCCACGTCTCCCTCGGATGCTTCTCTTCACACAGTTGTCTTTGTCTCTGGTACCCTCGCCTTCCTTTGCCAGCCTTGGGGTGGTGTAATGGGCTGAGTGGTGGTTCACCCCCCAATCATGTCAACACCCTAACCCCTAGAACCTGTGAATGTGACCTTTTTCAGAAAAAGGTCTCTGTCAATGTAATTAAATTAAGGATTTTGAGATGAAGAGATTATTCTGGATCATCTGGGTGGGCTCTAAATCCAATAAGTGTCCTTATAAAAGAGAAGCAGAGGGAGATTTGACATACAGCAAAGAAGGAGACAATGTGAGGAGGCAGAGATTGGAGCGATGCAGCCACAAGCCAAGGAGTGCCCACAGCCGCATGAGGCTGGGGAGGCAAAGAGTGATTCTCTCCTCAGGCCTCCAGGGGGAGTGTGACTGGGGCCTCTGGGGACTTCTGGCCTCCAGAACTGTGAAAGAATAAATTTCTGTTGTTTTAAGCCACCTAATTTGTGTTATTTTGTTATAGTGGCCACAGGAAACCAATATAGATGGTAAGATGGTAACAGTATGCCCTGTTATTACTGGCCTTGCAGGTGCAGTGGTTTTTTTGTTTTGTTTTGTTTTGCTTTCCTTAGACCGCTCATACTTTTGTAGTCTCACTGTTAACCTCTTCTCACATTACTCGGTTTTCGTGAGCCACCTGTTTCCTGCAGAAGCCTGTCTGACATGGGTGTCTGCCTCACCCATAGGTAGCCTGTGCCCCAGGGCAAGCTGACCCCACCTCATATCCAGGGGTCATTCCTGGTTTTTCCAAGCAATTGTGGTAATCCTGTTCCCCTTGCAAGTGGTCCAAGAATGGACATGTCCAAAATGTGGCCAAATCAGAGGGAAATCTAGAGAGTTTCTAGGACAATTCCATCTTCCGTGAGAGAGCCACAGGAAGAGATGGCCCTTCTTTTCCTCTTCTTCCCCTGGACATGGCATGTCCAGGTATGATGCCTGCAGCTGCTGCAATTTGAGCCCATTGGTGAGCCAGTGATTCCACCAGCCCTGAAGCTGGTCCTATCCCAGCCTTCCAGTCACGTGAGATAATACATTTCTATACCCCTTATTTCCATTTGAGTTGGAGTGTTATCAGTGGCTAGAAGCCTAGTAAATGATGGAGATTTAGATTGGTTCTACATTGCCTTAAGGCAAAGATGGTCAAATTGTTTTAAATATCCTAGCAACTTAAAAATAATTTCAAAACTTGAAAAATCTTGATGAAAAAACCTTTCTTGATATATATGTGTTCACGCTTGGCTGAAAATAGTAGCAAAACAAAATGTGTAAAGATTTATAGTCAACCACCATGTTAAACGGGGAGAGGGTCTGAAATAATAGCAATAAGGTAACAATAGAAATAAGGTGAAACAAAAACAATTCTGTGTAACACAACTAGGATATTCACATCAGCAAACAACCATGAGAGCTGTTACATGCCAGGCACTCAGCACTGGGGAATGAAATGGGAATAAGATCTTGGTCATTTTCCTTGAAGTGCTTATATATTGTTTTTAAAACCGGCTGGGCACAGTGGTTTACGCTTGTAATCCCAGCACTTTGGGATGCTGAGATGGGAGGACCACTTGAGGCTAGGAATTTGAGATCAGCCTGGCCAACATAGTGAGACCCTACCTCTACCAAAAAAAAAAAAAAGAAAGATTAGCCAGGAGTGGTGTCACATGACTGTAGTCCCAGCTACTCAGGATGCTGAGATAGGAGGATCGCTTCAGTCAAGTAGTTTGAGGCTGCCATGAGCTATGATTGTGCTGCAGCAAACCAAAAACCCCAAGCCAAAAAAATTTCCAGGTTATATTTCATCCAAGTTGTGGGAAATAAATGCGAAACAGTTCATCTAGTATTCATCTACACTTGTATCTTCACTTTCTGTACTGCTGTTGATTATATACTTGGTGAGAAATACAGTTACAAGGTCAAAGTGAGTACAGTTTAGAGGAAGAAAAATAGGAATTTGATTCAGAAATATCACATAAACAAAGTGTGGTGGAAAAAATTGATCATTACCCCAAAATGCTGAAAACTATGTTCTACTTGTAAAATATTACTTGGAACTGTAGCTGGTATTTCCCAGACACCCTATTGAAAGAGAACTGGTTGAAGGCTTGCAGGGCAGCAATAGTATCCCAGGTCTTCCCATCAAACTCCACAGAATAAAACAGATCGAGATAAGAGCCATTTCTTTATCAGCCAAGACTCCTGCCCCTTAATTCCAGGATCAGGAAGAAGACGTCCCTCAGTAAGTGTAGGCACATTCTTGAAACAAAACCCACTCCCACCAGCCAGAGAGTCCCATGCAGAACCATTCCTTTTGGGTCAGATAGGTCCTCTCCATAAATCCTCTTTAAAATACTAACACCTTTGGCAGGGGTATCAAATTAACTCACAACAATGGTTGATTCCTTTAGTTCTTCATCAGGGCTCCGAGAGACAGGAATATGGGGGAATGAAGAAGAGAGGGATTAAGAGAACATCGTTTGGAAAGGCTGGGACAGGTGAGATATTGAAGTTGCGAAATCCCTGGCAGGCAAAAGGCTGAGTGAGGGGCCTGGAGACGAGCCACATACTTTTACCTCTTTCCTTGGTCTTATTTCCCATCTCTCCTTGGCCTTCTTCTTTTAAGCAAAGCCTCAGTGGAGGCCAACCTCATTCCACAAGCTTCTAAAGGTTTGCTCCATGAAACACTGGTTCTTCATGATACTCTTAGAAAATTCTGCAGTCCAATAAGTTTGGGAAATGTTGTGTACTGAAAGTCCTCAGAGAGTCATAAGTAGGTTAGCAAATTCATGGCTCTGAGAAGTCCTGCAGTCAGGAGCTCTGACTGGTGTACATTTAGGCCAGCGATTTCCAAAATATTTTTTGTCAAAGAGCTCTTTAGTGCATGTTATCACCCGTTAAGAATACATTATGAGAAAGGCATATCTGATGGTCATAGTTTTCAATTAGAGTATTTTTTAACCAAGTTTTAAGATGATATAGCCCCCAATATTTTCTTGTTTTGATATCTAACTAATTGCCAACCCATGGTGTCTGGGCAGGGAAGAGAAGAAGAGACAAAAATGTGTTTTGGACACTCAGCTGTTTCTTGTTGGCTTTCCTAGAAAACAATTTGGATGGAAACAGATTTTAGCTATTCCTTACTTTAGAGTTAGCAGATTAGCCACAGATTGTAATTATCTAGGCTCTCTTTTCTTTATTAATCTGGAAACTTGGAAGTTGGTTTCTGCTGAGTTGTTCTCAGCAAAACTTGGCCTCCTTTAAAGCAGTAGCCTCCTTAGTAAGCTCCTTTTCCTTACCCTGTACTCTGGAAACAGCCCAAACATCATATCTCCCCAAGGAGAGCTGGTTTAGGAAAACTGCTATTGTTCCTGGCTGGAAGGTGTTTCAAATAGAATCATCACAGATGTAACTGCATGTTCAGGATATTGTCTGGAAACCACCAAACTATCAAGTATTTGAGACCACAAGAGACAGATCCAAGGGCTCACTGTAAAACTTAGCCAGAGTGAACTCTGTGAGCCAGAAGCCAGGTACCACTGAGAACTTGTTAGAAATGCAAGATCTGAGGGCCCACCCCGGACCTCCCAAAGCAGAATCTGCATTTGAACAGAGCCTCAAGCCATTTATATGCACAAAGCCTAAGAAATATCAACATTCATTCCATCATGTCTCATTCATTTATTAACAATTATCAGATACCCCACTAGACACCCTGCTGTTCTAGATATTGGGGTCACAGTGGTTAAAAAGGCAGGTAAGGTCTCGATTCTCATACAGCTTACATTCTAGTGGGGAAGACAGACATAAACGCATTTAAAAGTAAAGATTTCAGGAAGTGGCAAGTGCCTGAAGAAGTAAGAGGGTAATGGATTAGAAAATGAATGGGAGTCAAGGGTGAGATGAAATGGTCAGGCGGTATCAGTCTGAATAGAGACCTGCCTGGGGAGAAAGAGCAGCCACATGGTAGCCTGGGGCAGGAACATTCCAAGCAGATGACACAGTGACAGCAAAGGCCCCAGGGAGAGTATGAGCTTGAGAACAGAGAGAAAGGAGACGAGTGTGGCTAACGCTCAGCAAATTAAGAAATTCTGAGGTCAGAGAGCTAGAGAAGGGCCAGATTATGTGCACCAAAGAGTCTCAGATTTAGTATGCATCAGAATCACTTGGAGGAGGGCTTGTTAAAACATAGCTTGTTGGGTCCTACCCCAGAGTTTCTAACGCAGTAGCTCTGGGGTGGGGCCCAAGAATTTGCATTTCTGACAAGGTCCAGGTGATGGTGATGCTGCAAGTCCAAGGACCACACTTGGAGAACCACTGATGGAGAGCGTTGTGGGTCCTTGTAAGGAGTTCAGTTATACTCGAAGTGTGATGGAAGCCATCAGAAGATTCTAAGCAGGGGAGTGGCAAGAGCTGATGTTCATTTTCCTCTGCTATCCCCAGAGGAGCAGACCTCTCCAGTCATCCACTATCACCTGGACTTGCATCCCCTTCCTGCTGTGCTCGTCACCTGATTTGATCCAGTTTCCCACCCATTCTCTTCATTTCCTCCCTAACATTTCCACTGTGCCTTCTGGAAGCCCCAATCCTTGACTCTCAATTTTGCCTGTCCTCAGCCTACATCAGAGCCTCCCTCTTTCTTCCTTGCCTTAATTGGAGCCTGGCTGGTCCCAAGAGTACAACATTCACACAGCTGTTTCTGGCAGAGCCTGTCTGATATCTTACAGTCTGATATCTTACAAACCTTAGGGCCTGGAAGGAGTGTTGGTGCCTGCTTGTTCTCTACTGTTGCTCCTGGAACTTAACCTCTGTTACCTTTTACAAAATGTCCTACCCATTAAAAGCTCTGGCTTCCTGACTATACCACGCGATCACATGTCTTTTCTTTTCTTCCATGTGATCCATTCACTCATTCACTGGACTGCACCTCCTGGCTCCCCATCTTTTTCTCTGCATAGCCTTTCTTGACAATCTCATTAAAGTAACCATACAATGTCCCATCTAGCAGCCTGGCTTCTCAGTTTCCTGGACCTTCTCATCTCGAATGACGTTTTCTCCCTCCACTCCACCTCAAGGTCATAGCCTGAACCTTGTCACCACCAGAAACTGTTCTGCTGCTGCAAGCCCAAAGCCCCACTCTCTCATAAGCTTTCTGTCCTTGACACATACTTGAGCGTCTACTGTGACAATTCTTCAACTCTGTTGAGATCTCTTTTCTGTTGGCTCCACCGCCTTTTACAATTTGTCAGTCACCTTTCTGTTCACTCCTCGTGTCCAGCTTAGGGCTTATGGTTCATCACCATAAACAACTTCCTTCCAAAACTCTCATCCTCAGAATCCCCTTGCCTTTCCACGGAGTCTCCTACAAAATACTAAGTGAGCCCACCCATGTATCTCTCCACTCAAGCAGCTCGACATTACTATGGAAAAGTCAAGCAAGCAGGCTGCTTTCACTTTCAGTTCATCGCAGACCTCAAAGGGGTACTTGGAGCTACTAAGCAATATTGCTGTGTTTCTCTGTTAAAACCAGCATTCGTATTCTTCTAGGGTACTTTTTCATTCCTTTTTTATCCTTAAAACTCCCACTGCCCTTCCCTGCTTTTTAGTCTCAGCTGATGAACTCTCCTCGTTTCACTGAGGAAAGAGATGCTGTCCGATGGAAATGCTCACATTTCCCCACCTAGAAACCTACAAGCACAGCCACACTTGCTGGCCTCCTCTGCCCCTTCCCTGTCTGCTCAGCTGTGTCCAAGTGGCCTCCTATCATCCATTCAGTCCCTCCCATCAGCGTCTCCCTTGCTACTGTATCGTTCCCATTGGCACACACACCTGCTTCAGTATCGCCCATCTGTTTCTTCTGTAATTTATATCTGTACTTCCAAATAATACAGCTATTTTTAGGTTCTTCAATTTTAGACACTTATTGCCTTCCTGCACCCTCCTTGTGCATATTTCCCCTCCACCCACCCTCCCAACATCGTTACAGCACCATTTTTGGCTAAATCAATGTACTGTGCTAGCATTACTATAAGTACTCACAGCTGAACCATATAGGCTGTTATTCTTTTATGGGTCAACTTTGGTTTTCTTGGAATTACTAATTACCTCATTTTTTCATTGCTTAGTCTTCCAAATATTAATTACTAAGTTTTTGCTAAGCTTTCCAATCAAATTGCAAAAGTCCTCTCTTGAGTCACAGGTAACCATTCAAGACTGCTTCTTCACCCCCAAATCCAGCTACCGCCAATGAACAGCTCTGCTGGGAGTGTCACCTGTGCATGTGTGTGGCCTCTCCAGTGTGGTCAGGCTAGGGGAGTGGGACTTCTCACGCCGCAGTTCAGGACTCCAAGAGTGAGTATTCCTGAGACAGGGTGGAGGTCTCACGGCCTTTTATGACCTTACCTGGAAGTCACATAGGGTTGCTTCTCCCCTGTTGCAATGATGGAAGCAGTCAAAACCTCACCCAGATCATGGGGAAAAAAGCACAAAGCTATCCTCTCTATGGAAGGAATGTTCAGGAAGATTTATGGCCATGTTTTAAAGCTGCCACAGAGACAACTTATGTGAGATAATACTAAAATTGTGTTGAAAAATAGTCCAAACTTTTTCAAAGAATTTTCCTTTTTTTTTCTTTTTTGACACAATGTCTCACTCTCTTGCCCAGGCTGGTGTGCAGTGGCATGATCTCAGTTCACTGCAACCTCCGCCTCCTGGGATCAGGCGATTCTTGTGCCACAGCCTCTCTGGTTGCTGGAATTACAGGTATGCGCAACCACACCCAGCTAATTTTTGTGTGTGTGTGTGTATTTTTAGTAGAGATGGGGTTTCACCATGTTACCCAGGGTGGTCTGAAACTCCTGGCCTCAAGTGATCTGCTCGCCTAGGCTTCCCAAAGTATTGGGATTACAGGTGTGAGCCACTGCGCACAGCCAATAATTTTCATTGTTGTATATAGAAAATACAGAATTTCATGGCGATATCAGAAACATAAATACTGTACAGTATTGTCATGAGCTTAAGTAGAATATCTTTGGAGGGAATCCCAAGAAGCTGGTACCGGGAGAAACCAGGTGACCGAAGGCCAGAGCAGGAAGAGACTTTGCCCTATAGACCATTTTGTATCTTTTGAATTTTTCATCATGGGCTTGAACTGCCTTTCTAAAAATATTAAATGATCAAATGTGTTTGATGATGTCACAGCTTCTCCTGGCCATGTCAGTTCCCAGGATAGTTTAGACCAGGGCTGTCCAAGAGAACTTTCTGTGACAATGGAACTATTGTGCATCTGACCTGTCCAATACAGCAGACACTAGCCTCACATGCCTACTTAGCACTTGAAATGTGGCTAGTACAATTAAGGAATTAAATTTTTAACTTAATTTAAATGTTAATTGCCATCTGTGGCTAGTGACTACATCCTTTATGTTTGCAGCTGAGGGGCTGGGAGGAGCTTGCACATGTGGGATACGGGGGCAGGGAGCATGAGATCCCTGGGGTCATGGTCTCCAAACATTTTTGCACATGCGCTCCCTAAAACAGTTTTAAACAACTGTATATCTCTTTGCAGAAATTAAATTTGACATCTAAATGCTTCCTCCTTAGTTTAAAAGTTTATTTTTGTTAGGAGTTATAAAAGATTAAACATTTCATAAGATGAAATAAGATGAGGACTAACTATAATTGGAATAGTATTTCATGAGCTGGTTTGATAAAGTAAGTTTTAATTACTGAATAATGCAGACTGAATCTGAAAGAAATCATTTTAAAATTCTTTAACCTATACTGCCTTAGCTGTTCTAAATTTAGAGCACCTCAATGTGGGCCACGCTTCACCCTTGACAGAAATATACATAAGACAGGGAAAGACGGCACGCCCTGAGGATGGAAGATGCCTTGATGAATCATTAAAGAAGCCCCCAGAAACCAATTGATCGATCTCCCCTCTTTTTTTTTTTTTTTTTTTGAGACGGAGTCTCGCTCTGTCGCCCAGGCCGGACTGCGGACTGCAGTGGCGCAATCTCGGCTCACCGCAAGCTCCGCTTCCCGGGTTCACGCCATTCTCCTGCCTCAGCCTCCCGAGTAGCTGGGACTACAGGCGCCCGCCACCGCGCCCGGCTAATTTTTTGTATTTTTAGTAGAGACGGGGTTTCACCTTGTTAGCCAGGATGGTCTCGATCTCCTGACCTCATGATCCACCCGCCTCGGCCTCCCAAAGTGCTTCTCCCCTCTTTTGGTCCAAGGAAGTTTTTACACCCCAGAGTAAGGCTTCATGTTGCGATCACGATGGGTGAGCGGGGCATGGGAAGTTCCATGAGACGATTTTAGAAATCGGTGCTTTGGATATTAAGACTGTGGACGTGGATTTCCTCTAAATCACTCATGGATATTTTTCCTCCTGAAAGGTCTGTACACCCTCAGGTGTACTTGACCCAAGTTTGAAGACCGCTGCTATGAGAAGGTGAAAGCTGGGCTTAGCACTCATTTGCCTACCACTGCTGGCTTTAACTGAGACCCATCACAGAGGAAAGATAAGGGACAGTCCCCGGGGTCCCCTCCAGCTGAGGCAGGGTAGCCCTGTCAGTGTCCCTACCTCAGGCCTCTGGCCTGCGCTCCAAGACTCACTCAGCTGGAATTTTTAAGCCTGTTCCAAGTGGAAAGAGGCAAACCCAGGCCTGCCTTCTTCCAGGGCTCAAGGATGAGCAAGGCAAGACTTAGTGCCTTTTTCCCAGTAAAGTCTGCTCCATCACCCCTTCCTCATGTCATGCCCTCCTCCCCGGGCCTGCAGTTACTTCAGATGGAATGCAGAATAGAGGTGCGTTTGGAGAATTGCAGTTCACTAGCATGGGGGCACAGGGCTGTGAGGGGCTGACTCAGTGATGGTAGCCTGAGTAACCTAGGACTAATTAGAGTGTCGCCCTCAGGGCCATCATGTCTGAACTAGGGGTTGCTCCTAAGATGAAAATTGCATGAGGTCCAAATTTCTGGAGGCCAAGGCAGGCGGATCACGAGGTCAAGAGATTGAGACCATCCTGGCCAACATGGTGAAACCAGTCTTTACTAAAAATACAAAAATTAGCTGGGCGTGGTGGCACGCACCTGTAGTCCCAGCTACTTGGGAAGCTGAGGCAGGAGAATCGCTTGAACCCAGGAGGTGGAGGTTGCAGTAAGCCAAGATCGCGCCACCTTACTGCAGCCTGGCAACAGAGCAAGACTCCTTCTCAAAAAACAAAACAAAACAAGCAACAAAAAAACACCTGAATTCAGCCCACAGGGTTGGTATTTGTGTGCCACATTGGAGACCAAGGCACCATCTGTCAAAATGTCCGACACAGAGTCCACTTTTTTCTTCTGGCTGAGTGAGGATAGATCACCGCTTTGGTCAAGCACCGGATGTGTAGTTGGCTTGCATCTAAGAGCCATATTGTATAAAAAATGTATTGTTGTTAAGCCCAAGAATCATATTAGTATGTGGAGTGCTCACACTGAGAGGCTGGCGGGAATTGGGCCCTGAAGGTGGCAAAGAGCCCTATCTCCCATGACTTCCTTGCCTGGGGCAAAAGATCACTGATGGACTGACGGGGACAGATGGGCCAAAATCATTCCCATTGCTGCTCTGTGACAGATTCCACACTAAGCAGTCTACGCACATCTTTCAGACAGAAGTTAGCACAAAAGCCCCTCTATCTCACCTCACTCCCCATTTAGATGCATTTGGCCCACTTCCTAACACAAGAGGGCCCTGAGACTGCCAAGAAGTGGCAAACGTCCCAGCCATTAAACATCTAATGATCAAGTGAGCATCTAAATGGTGCTTGTCCTGGGAGAAGGCTGAAGGGACCCAGAGATACACAGCAGCTGAACCAGTTGAGTTGAAAATGAAGATGGATGAGTTAAATGTGACATAATGAAGGCACTTCGTTGGACAAGATCCTGATGATCTTCAGGAGAAGAAGCTTAAGCCAGCAACGCATTTTCTCTAATTTTCTGCCATGGGGTAACTTTTAAAACATCAATTAATAACTTCTACAGCATGTTATCATTTGCCTACAATTCTCATTATAAAGAAAAGCAATTGCCTACCATGAACACCGTTGGTTTAAAAGTCTTGAAGGCTTGTATCCACATATTCCATCATGTTAACCTTGGTGGTAAATGCTCATCTCTTCTTAGAAATTGATTCCATATTAACACTGTCAGAAGATAATTCACACGCTGTCTCTTCTCTTCCCCCATCCCACTCCCTTCATTAAATGTTCACTGCGCATTTCCCAATAGGCAAGCACTCAGTAGGGTCCCTATGGGTCAGCCACCTGAATAGCCCCCCAGCCTGCAGATGCCAGTGGAGAAGCAAAGACACACCAGCCAGAGAGCAAGTGAGAGGCCCCTCTACCAGCCCATGGATAATGTCAGCTCCTCAGGGGGATTGTATTTCTGGTCCAACACTGCCAATGACTGCATTCTGTTATTTTTTAATAATAACTTGGCTGATGCTATATTATTTCTGCCTTTATATTTTATTTGAAGTTACCAAAACGATCAGGATGTTATTCATCCAAATAGAAAAAAGGCCAATGCTTCCCTCTTTAACTCAGAAAGCAGCCCTTCTGCATCTCTTGGCATCAAGGACACATTTGTTCCTGGGTGGGAAGGTCCAGATACCATCCACCTTGGCATTGTCTGTCCTGGAGCTATTTGTTTGCTCATGTACAGCCAGGGGCTGACTGTCTTCTAAACTTATCCCCACACCCATGTCTTTGCTGTCCTCCCATGAAATGCCTGCCACTCAAGAAGCTGCCCTTGAAGAAAGGGGGCTTCTAGGGAGGGAGCTTCTAGGGAGGTGGCTTCTAGGGAGGGGGATTCTAGAGAGGGGGATTCTAGGGCCACTCTCCCTTCAAGGGCTACTTCTGGGTCTCTTGACATCTACCCACCATGCCCTCCACAGTACTGACGTCTTCTTTCTCTGAATTCCAGTGGCCCACTGCCCAGTTCCATGGCACTGATTTCTGCCTTAGAGTTGCTAATGTGTGTCTACGGATGAGTCTTGGCCATACCTTGCAGTAGCAGGAGCCTCATAAATGGTAAAGCTTCACTGTGAGTGCAGCACTCAGGCCCAGAGTGTGAGGGAGAGCACTTCAGCCTCCAAACATGCAGCACATGAACCCCACGCCCCGCCCCACCTCCGCCTCCCAAGGCTCATGTTCAGCCTCCTTGTTCGGGTCTGGAACCATCAGATGCATTGGTTGTGCTGGCTAGGGTCGACCTTGGAGACGCCAGGCCGGAGTGCTGGATGGCAACCACCTGGGTGGGCTCACCTGGTTGTGCCAAGTTGAGAGCGAAGGATTTGATGTCCTCTAGCAGCAGAGAAATGGCGATCACAAGATGGAAAAGAACCCAGGGAGGCCTTGCGTTCACTATAGCTCTCACTTGGATTCATTAGACAAATGAAAAATTAGCTTTTTTTCATTCTCTGTCACTTGGCCACTGTATTCACTGTTTCCAGTCCTGCCACTCCCTCTCTTGCCCCTGCCAGCATGGAGGAGTTTTAGCTCCTCCATGTAGGCAGTCATTCATTTATTCAGCTGCCTGTGTCCTCACATGGCTGTCTTCTTAGAAGGACACTAGTAGCATTGGATCAGGGGCCCACCGTACTCCAGTACAACTTCTTAACTATGTCTGCAAGTTTACAAATAACACCACACTTTGAGGTACCAGGGATTAGGATGTCAACATATCTTTTTAAGGGGATGTCATTCAACTATAACATCACTGGATCTGGGAGAAATTGGGGTTAGGGCTAAAGATGGGTATGCCCTCTGAGCTATTAGTGCAACAGCAAGGAGATCCAGGGATAGCCACAAAATCCCTTGAGAGTGGAAATATTTTCAGAAAACAGACAAACAATAAGGGCACAGGTTAGGAAGAAAATAAGAGCAAAGAGTGAGGAAGTAGCGCAAGAATGAGGAGATGGGAGGTTGAGGGAAGGAGGGGTGCACCTGAGCCCAGGAAGACTCATGGGCAGTGAGGAACATGGGGGAGGAGGGCTGGGAGCACCTTCTGGAGGGCAGGAAACCACAGACTCTGTGTAGGAAATCTGGTTATTGTGGGTAACTATTTAGGAGTTCATTAAGCAACTTCCTGCCTGAGGCTGGAAGGGCAGTGGGTGTTCTGCTCAGCCAGCTGATGGTCTTGCTTCATGTGGCTTAGAAGTGGATGAGCACATGGGAGAAGCCAGGGTTATGGCATTTGGAGCCATATCCCTGAGCTGTGGTCCCAAGTCCAGGCTAACAGACACCCCAGCAAGGGGACTGGTAGAACTGCCTGGGGGGTGTGGAGCTGCTTCCTGTGGGAGCTGAGCCCAGGCCCTGGCTAGATACTGCCCACTCATACACCCTAAGGAAAGCAGGTACAGCTCCAAGCTCCCTCGGATCCAGAAGGAAACACCATTCCCGGCAGCCATCTATAGTATAATCCCCAAGATCATCCTACCGATCTCTGTCCCCAGGGGACTCTGCTGTGGGTCCAGCAGAGAATGAATGGGTTGGAGTGGGTAGAGCAGGTTGCTCTGTCTGGGGCTCTAGGGAACCATGTGTCTCCTCCTTCCAGGCACAGTGCTGGGCACTGGCATAAATCCTTGTTCCACACTGGCCCGTTCTTCAGGGTCATCCCTCAGCAAATTTGGAAAGGAGGTGAAGGTTCCCCCACACGCCTGGTCCCCCAGCATTCTAGGGTAGCACACTAGACTTCCAGGTCCTGGCCATGGGTCTCCACAGCTCTGAACCTCTCATGTCCCCAGCAGTGTCAAGTGCCTTGCCTTGGGTTCTATTTTATTTCTTAATAGATGACAACTATTGAACTTGATAAGCCAATCAGAACAATGTTGGAAAACACCTATCATGTTACTAGATTGTTGTTCTCAATGGACTCCTTTAGTCAGAGATGTTGGTTGCCAACTGCAGGAAGTGACTAGGCAATTTAAGCAGAAATGTCACTTACTGGAAGGACAGGCAGCTCACAGCATGGACGGATGGGAAGGAACCACGTTGCTGTGGAAGCAGACAAGGCCAGGCTGAGCAGAGGTGGCTCCTGGGGGACCATCATCTTGGTGCCACCCTGGTGGCTCTGGACACTCAACACAACTGCCCTGGACTGGCCTTGGCAGAGGCACCCGTGGGTCATCTTCAGTGGCCCCAGGCCTTTGTGTCACTCCTTCAAGCTTGATGATTCGGGCTGCGGCACTTGATTGCAAGCCCCAGACCCAGCGTCCCTCTCTAGCTGCCTGGAATGGGAAAAGACCATGCATCCATTTGTTTCTGTAGTGAGGGAGGAGCCCTTTCTCCCCCACTGCCCCATCCCCACCACCTATTCTAGGATTTCTCCAAAATAGGACGAGTGTTCAATGTCGGCATCCCGAAAGAACAACTATCCAGTAAAGTAATATGTGTGTACATTCATAAGGGGGGCCTCCCACAACTCCCTAACTCAAAAGAGTGACTCTCATGGGGATTTCAGGCACCAAGACAGATGGACAGGGGAGACTTGCCTAATGTCATAGGCAGAAGCCCTGTGAGTAGAAGCTTACGTCTTCTGATTACAGATCCCAGTGCTGTGACCACACTGGCCGAATTAAGCACAGAGCTGATGCTCAAACCACATTTGCTAAATGAATGAATGAATTTTTGGGTCTTCCACTGCGTGATGATCTGCCTCAAATACATCAAGAAAAAAGGCAGGATAAAATGATCAATTAAAATAAATCTAATGGCCTTGGGGTAAGCTATCAAACCTTTTTGGATCTCTATTTCCTTATTTTGAAAGATAAGGACAAGACTGATCTCTAAGAACTTACCCTTGAATGCATTGCAGAAAGAAATTTTGTCACATATAAGAAAGTTGGAAATTTGAACACTGACTACATAATTTGAAGATGTTAAGAAATTACTTTTAATTAGTTTTGATTAATCACTTTTTAGGTGAGCTATGATTTTGTCTTAAAAAGAGTCTTTGTCTTTTAAAGTTACATGCTGAAATAATTTGTCTTTTAAAGTTACATGCATGAAATAAAGTTACATGCTGAAATGATATGATGTCTGGGATGTTTGTTTTGTTTTGAGACAGAGTCTTACTCTGACACCCAGGCTGGAGTGCAGTGGTACGATCTTGGCTCACTATAGCCTGGACCTCCTAGAGTCAAGCAGCAAACCTCTCACCTCAGCCTCCAAAGTAGCTGGGACTACAGGTGTGTGTCACCATGCCCAGCCAATTTTTGTTTGTTTGTAGACATGGGGTTTTGCCATGTTGCCCAGGCTGGGCTTGAACTCCTGGGCTCAAGAAATCTGCCTGCCTTGGCCTCCCGAAGTTCTGGGATTATAGGCCTGAGCCACTGTGCCTGGCTGATATCTGAGATTTTAATACATTGGAGAGGAACGTGGGCAGGAAAATTGATTTAAAAAATAGGCTCTGAGTTGATAATTATTGAGACTGGATTATGTGTACAGGATGATCTGTTATGCTATTTTGTCCACTTTTTATATGTTTGAAAATTTCCATGATAAAGTGTTTAAAAAGTAAATAAAACAATATTTTTCTGTAGCCCTGTAGTGTCCATCACAGTCAGAGCTTGTACTGGGCCCTGGGATGGTCACCCAGAATCTCTTGCTCCTTTGCTGTTTCCTAAAATAACCGCTTGATTTCATGCAGGTGTCATCTCCTCACACACAGCCCTGTGTCTCAAGGGAAGGTGACCCATTCCCACCTCCAGCCCTGATTAGTCTCAGCCCATCAGAGTGAGCCCAACCTTCCTGCCGATGATTAGTTCTAGAAGGACGCGGCATAGAAGGAGAGGTTTGGTGGGTCTCTGAGAACTGTTCTCCCTACTCTCCTACTCAGCTAGACAGGAGGGAGAAAGGAGGTGGCCTCAGGTACCACCAGCAACCATGCTGCAACCTGGAAGAAAACCAGCTTCAGGATGAAGCCAATGTGCTAAGCAGCAGAGCAGAAAGCTGGGAGAAGCCCAAGTCCTCGGCAGCAGTGTTGAGCTGACAGATCAAACAACCCTGAAGGCCACCTTATCGCTCAATTCCCCTCAAGGATAAATTTTCATCCTTTTTTCTTTCTTTCTTTTTTTTTTTTTTTGAGGCAGAGTCTCACTCTGTTGCCCAGGCTAGAGTGCAGTGGTACAATCTCGGCTCACTGCAACCTCCACCTCCCGGATTCAAGCGATTCTCCTGTCTCAGTCTCCCGAGTAGCTGGGACTACAGGCTCCCAACACCACGCCTGGCTAATTTTTGTATTTTTCATAGAGATGGGTTTTATCATTTTGGCCAGGCTGATCTCAAACTCCTGACCTCAAGTGATAAGCCCAACTCAGCCTCCTATGTCATAAATTTTCATATCCTTCAAGCCACTGTGTTTTTTACAACAAAGAGATAAATCTTTGTAAGTAACCAAGACTCTTCTAACAAACCCAAGGCTGAGTGAGCATTCTCCCTAACTGGTGGAATGAGCTATTAAACCTTTTTGGATCTCCGTTTCCTTATTTTGAGAGAAAAGGGAGGGGACCCCGGATCCTGCAGTCACCCGTGTTGTTTGGAATGCAGGAGGCAGGCAGTGGTACGAGGGGTCTCTCAGAAGGTGGAAACATTGGCATACCCTGGCACCATTTCGACCCAGACAGTTTTTCCTAATGTCACACCATCCTGCTTTGAATGACATTAACTTGAAGTTCCGGACACAAGATTAAGTGTCACCTTCCAAGGGGCTGATAGGAAACTTGTGCCCGGCCTTTGCTGCTGTGGATTGCTGTGAGAATGAGACAAAGGAGGGAACCCTCTTAGAGGCCTAGCAGGCACCTCGCCATCGCCAAAAAACATGGAAACAAAGGAAACTCCTGGGTTTCCTCAAGGGGAATTCTAGGCACCTAGCTGGCCCTGAGAAGTAAGTAAGCAACTTGATAAGCAAGAAGGTAAATAGTAGGTTAAAAGAACAGCCAAGGAGCTAGAATCATGGGATGTTTGGTTCCCTCTAGAAATTAAAGAACGCATCTTAACACGTGCCCCCGAGTGGTTGTTTAGACACCCAGTCTCCTGCAGACTTTGTTTAGACACCCAGTCTCCTGCAGACTTTGCATCCACTGGCACAAAGACCTCAGATAAGGGGGAACTGAGGACTGAACTCTGACTACTGTCAATTTCTTCCTCAGGGCCCTGGAGGAGGTCACAACCCTAGGCCAGAACTAACACTCTTTCCTACTGATCCCAAGTTTATTTTATTATTTTATTTTTTTATCTTAGATAGAGTCTCACTCTATCGTCCAGGCTGGAGGGCAGTGGTGATCATAGCTCACTGCAGCCTCCAATTCCTGAGTTCAAGCAATCCTCCTGCCTCAACCTCCTGAGAGCTGTGATTATGAGTGTGAGCCGTTGCACCAATTTATATATGTATGTGTGTGTGTGTGTGTGTGTAGACAGGGTCTTGCTTTGTTGCCCAGGCTGCTGAGCTCAAATTTTTAGACAAAGCTTTGCCTCCTGAACCACTTGCAGATCAGAAAATCTTTGAATCCACCTCTGACCCTCTTTGAGATGTCAAGCCTTTTTAGGTCAAATCAGTGTATAACCTCCATGCACTGATTTATGACTTTGCCTGTAACCTCTGCCTCTTCGCTTTTAAAAACCCTTACCTGTAAGCCATCAGGGAGTTCAGGGAGTTAGCTGCCCAATTCTCCTTGTTTGGCGCCCTGCAATAAATGCCTCACTTTCTCTTGCTGCAATCCTGATACCAGTGTTTGGCTTTGCTGCAGCGGGTAAATGAACCCCAGTTTAGTTCAATAACAAATACCTATGGCACCCTTTCCCTGACAGAATATTCATAACAGAAATGACGCAAATCTATTTTTATTATCATGAGATGCTGAGAAAGGGCATTAGCAGGAGTAGGAGGCTATACTAAGGCTTGGCTGTCGGACCAGGAGTTCCCGTGGCAGGGGAGGGCGTGCAGCCTGCAAAGGGCTCTGGCTTGTCCCCCATATTAGAGATGGAGTTGCTGGTCTTCCGCCTCCTCCAAGTCTCATGCTTAAGTGGACTTGAAATCCAGCGGATGGTATCATTGAACTGAGCCGCAGCAAGGCTGAAATTTAGGGGTCATTCATAAAGCAGAGAGCTCTCCTTTGGTTTCCAGTAAGAGCTGGTGTTGAGCATTTCAGGATGCAATTTATAACCTGGGGAAACCTGAGAGCAGGGGTTGTCCTGGACTCTCCTCTCTCTCATGCCCACTGCAGGCAGCCAAGCCCCAACTTTTCACTATATTAGCTCCTCAGTCTCTGATGAATTGTCCTGTCCTTCCCACCATCGCTGCCACCACCCAGGTGCAAATCATCAGTATCTCTCATCCGGACAATTGAAATATTTCCTAATGGTCTCTGAATTGATTGCTGCTGCTTGCCTACTCAGTTCTTTCCACAAAAGCCAGAACGATCCTTCAAAAATGCAAATCTCATAATGTCTTTTCCTTTCCTGGAAGCTGCCAGTTACTTCCCACTGCCCACAGTGTTCTCCACGCCGATGCCCACATTCCTCCCATCACCATTAGATGCCTGGGACATTTGACTCCAAGCCACACACCCCATTCTCCCACCTCAGGCTTTCCACCTAGGCTGATGCCTCGGTTTGGAGCTGTTAGCTCTCCACTTGCCCCTTCATTCCACAGTCCCAACTCCTTTATGTTCTATCTTACATATCACCTCTTGGAGGAGAAGTTTTCTTCCTCTGTCTCCCACTTCCAGCTAAGTCCCATCCTCTTTACATGCACCCACTGTATCTTGCCTGTCTCCTTCAAATATTCAATGTAATGGAAACTTTCTTCCTCATTCAATTAAAAGGGTAGAGATTTTGTTCACGGTGCTCCACACTCCATCCCAAGCAGCTGTCACAGTGCCTGGCACACAATCAATGATTAGGAAATAAATATCGGCTGGCTGCCTATCAGGTGTGGCCCCAACTACCCCCTCGAGACTCTCTTTGGCCTCTTAATTAAGCATCTACGGAGCTTCACACCTACAAAGTTCCTGCTGGCGGGGACAGAATATGGAAAGAAATGGATGTAGACAGAGTCCGGTTTGGAACCTGGAAGCAAGGCTGTTGCCTTCCAGAGAGAAAATGTCTCGGTTAGAATTCTGGACATTCTCCACACAAGCAGACTTTTTTCTTACTCTTTGTTCTAAAATGTTGGTGTCACTCAAAGATACAGACTACAGACTTCAAACAGAAAGCGTAGGCTGAGAGGAAGAAAGGCCGGAGCCATTTCCTGTTCCCCCTGCACTGCACGCCAGGGGAGAGGGCGTCCTTGTCCCCTTCCTGCCTCCTCAGTAGTATGTGGAAGCCTTGGAGGTTCCCAAGTCAGTGTCTCTCCTGGGCTGCAGAAAGAGGTCTGGTGGGAGAAACCACAGCTGGGATGCCGGGGGTGGGGTGAGGTTCCCATGAGGGCCCATGCGTGGGAGCCACTGGTTTCTTCCCTTGGAAGGACATGGGCACTTGGAGTAGCTCACCTTCCTGAAGGGAGATGTGGCCGTGGGGGAAGGCAGCTTCTCCTCCATGGACGGCTGTCGGCCTCCTTCTCAGGGTAAGGGGAGCTTCATTTCCACTCCCTTTCTTCAGAGTCAACCACAGACACCTGAAGCTCATTTCCATGTGCCTCTCTGGAAAAATCAGAGTTGCTTTATCCTGCAGTTCCGTGTGGAAGAGCTGAGAGTGTTCTGCCAGGAAATGCAGTCGCCGGGCACAGTGGCTCATGCCTGTAATCCCAGCACTTTGGGAGGCTGAGGGGGGCAGATCACCTGAGCATTTTCAGAGGCCAAGGCGGGTGGATCATGAGATCAGGAGTTCGAGACCAGCCTGGCCAACATGGTGAAACCCCATCTCTACTAAAAATACAAAAATTAGCTGGGTGTGGTGGCGGACACCTATAATCCCAGCTACTAGGGAGGCTGAGGCAGGAGAATTGCTTGAATCTGGGAGGCAAAGGTTGCAGTGAGCCGAGTTCGCACCACTGCACTCCAGCTGGGTGACAGAGCGAAACTCTGTCTCAAAGCAAAAAAAAAAAAAAAAGAGAGAGAGAGAGAGCACAGTGGCCAGCATCTGGCCCTAGCCAGGATGGCTGAGAAATCAAGGCGTCCTACAGATGGGCCTGGTTACAGGGGCTCTGGGGGCCCTGCCATATCGGAGATGGGTGGGGGAGCAGGTGGTAAGCGTGGGACAGTGTCAGCTGGTGCAGTGTGGCGGAGTTCAGCAGCCTAGGTTTGGACGTAGCCATGTGACTTTGAGCTCTTCCTCTTCAAGGCCGACTGTTCTTTGGTGTAATAATATGGAGCTGGTTGTGTGTACCTGGAGAGAATCGTCTGTGGATTTCTGAGCTCGAAAGCTGCCTGGACGGATTCAAGAGGTGACGTGCACAGCTATGTCTTGGGGGCTGAGCCCAAGGGGCCTGACCGGTGCCTTCTGCGCTGCCATGCTGCCCTCATAGTGGCTTCTGGGACACCGTCAGCCCTGTGCTCCCCAGAGCCTGCATCAGAACTTCTCGAACTTTTCTGCTGAAGTGTCCCTAAGAAGAGCAAATGCCTGCCCCTGAGCCATAGATAGGAAATTTCTTTTAAGTCCCTTGTTCTATCTTAAAAATTCATGTGAATTGTGCATCTTACTCCATAATCTATTCATGCTTGTTTTAATATAAATATATTCTTTTCCTCAAATATTCAAATAGAATATACAGTTCTAGGAAGTTGCTGGGAGAAGGGGACTGGGTGTTGAGGAAAAGGAGGGAGAACTTGGCCTCTCACATCTGAAACCTTGTTTAATTCTCTCCCCATAACCCTATGAGGTAGAGGCTTTTTTTTTTTTTAGAGGAAATATCTTTCTGTGAAAGAACTAAAACATTACAGGTTTAAAAAAGCTGAATGTGAACATCCTCTATAATCTAACTCCCTAAAGAAGCCCCTGGTAAACAGTATCTGTGGTATCTTCATTTCCATCAGCCCTGCTGAGTGTGGAACATCCCTGCCCCCCAGAGTCTGTGACTTGTGTCTTGGTTGCACTGTGACTTGCCCTGTGCACAGAGAACAGACTCCTGCCTATTTCCCATTTTGTTCATCAGATGTAAGCTTTGGCCTGATGTCAGCTCCATCAGAAACCAAAGGAAGTGCCAGGAGGGACACTAACTTCGTAAGGCCCTACCCTGATCTTACTTTCTAAGTTCCTGAGGTCATGGCTGAATCTGACAGTTTCCCAGCATGGAGCTGCCATGAGCTGGTAGCCAGGTGCTCAGGGATCTGTTTTCATGAAGAGAGGAGCCCATGCAGACTTCCATTCAGAGCCTAATGAGGAGGAGGGAAGGAGGTGGACATGATGGTGTTTGTCCCCCTGCTGTGGGTAAGAGGTGGGATTAAAAAGAAGCTACAGACAGAAGGTCAATGAGCTCCCTGCCACAGGGACTTTGGAGACCCGGTCCAGAGGTTGGAATTCAACACAGCGTTGGGGTGAAGGTCTTTCTCCCACATTTGCAGGTAAGTAGGAGCTCAAGAAGATGGCCACGCTCCCAGAGATTCTGGCCAAAATGCTCATGAGTGGCTTCATGGGCAGCGATCAGTGAGGGGTCCAGGCAGAAGATCCTGAGAGGGAAGCTGGTTTTTTACACAGGGGAGACCCCAGCAATACTAGTGGGGGGTGGGGGGGAAGGGGTCAGAGACAATGACCCAATATAATTTAATGTTAATAGTTATGTGGCCTAACAAACATCCACATCTGGGGAAGGCTTAGGGAAATTCAGCTTAGAGGAAAATTCCATCAACCAAGCATTTCATCATGTGATCCCTTTTGCCCATGGATGGTTCTAAAAACAAAAACAAACAAAAAACAAAAAACAAACTGAAACGTACATATTGAATGAATTTGCCCCTTCAAAACAGTATCTCAGGAGGTTACCCATGCATTCCAACAATGCTCATGATACTTTCAGAAATTATCTTTGAAAACTGACTTCAGAGCCATTCCGTGAGTCATACTTTGGAGTCAGCTGGTTTGATCGCCCAATTTATTCTTCAGCTTTGCCTTTGAATAATTTTTGTTTGGTTCCAAAGATAAAAATCGTTTGTCAAATAATTATGCTTGTCCACCAAGCCTCCTCCTCTGTAGACTGTAAATTTCTTGAACCAACGGAGCATGCCTGGTTCATCTTTGGCCATCCAAGCCCTGGCCAGGCACTTCAAAAATGCCTGATCCACATTTCTTCTGAGGCTGTTCACTCTACTCCATAGGGCTGTTCCCAACACTGTTAGGTTCTACAGATAGCAGACCCCCAAAATCAAAACATCGGCCTTCTCTTCCCAGGTAGCTTTTTGGGATTAAACAGTTATCCCTGAAAAGGAAGGGTTATTCTAAATCTGCACCCACCCTAGCCCATGGTAGAAATACCTTCTGGAATAAGCATCAACAATTTAGCCTTTTTCTGTTGGTTAAGGTCACAGGGAACAGTCTGTGAACATTTTTCTCTATGTTGCTTTTCTTTTCAGGGGTGTAGAATAAAGATGAAAAAGCACAGCTCTGGGAGCACACAGAACAGAAAGCTGACACTCGCGGGATTGATTATGCATTCACTTATTTATTACAATTTTTAAAAATGGCCCAGCTGCTTCAGCTTACACAAGCTGGGCTGAAATATTTCACTCGATAGTATTCTCATCTGGTGGTTATAATACTGAGTGAATTAATGCAAGGGGTTTTTTTAACCCTAAAAGAAGAAAATCAAAATTAAGTAAAAAATAATGTTAGTGCCTAAAACTGGGATTCAAACATTCAAGTGTTTCCAAGGAATACCCATTGTTGGCCTTCCCTTCCCGACGCGTTGGTCCGTAGCAGCCCCCGTCCCTAGGGGTGCATATGGGACCCCCTTCACCTGTGAGGTTTTCCGGTTGCTCGCATGTGTCCCTCATGGGATCCAGAAGGCCTAGGCTCACACCTCTTCACGTGTATCCTATAAAACGCTCCCAGGAGATCCCTAGCCTCTGGCTGAGAATATGTGATCTGTAACCACGTGATCACTGCTGCCATGTGGTTTCGCTCCTGTTAGCATCACGTCCCTCATACATTATGTTTTGATCAAATGATGGAATAGTCTGATGCCAACTGTCTTAGACTGGAGGAATGTGTTGGCTCACGTAACTGGAGATCCAGAAGTAGGTTTGGCACAAGACGTTGTTTTGTTCAGCTACTCAAAAGGTGTCAAGAACGGGCTCCTCTCCTCTCAGCGTGGCCCTTCTCGGGTTGGTTATTTACCTCAGACAAGCTCCTTGTGAAGGCAGGAGGGCTGCTAGCTGCTCTGGCCTTATAACCTCCGAGTCCATCAGAAACTTAGCCTCCATTTCTCAGCTGTTTAAATGACGTTGTGTGATCTGACTCTTGGGTCCTAGTCGGGTTCCAAGTGCCCATTTCATTGGTACCAGGTGGGTTTCATTTTTGAACACAGAAGTCACTCTAGATATTGAGAGCAGACCAGGATTTAACACAGGTACTGGATGCTTGCAGAATTGTTGGATGGTCTGAAGGAGTGAGTTCCAGGTGGAATCTTCAGAAATGACTCCCAGAACACAGCAGAACTGACCTGCTTCAGAGAGCTATGGTCTTTGAAACACCTGGCAAGATGGGGGATCAGGAGACTGCCATGGGAGCAACTGAGTTCAAGTTCACACGCCATATTTGTAATACAGGCCTCAGGAGGCCAGCACTGCCACCCATCTGCTTCTCAAACCCAAGACACAAGTGTCACATACCTGTCTTCCAAATCTTGAGTGGAACATTTTGGATAGTAATTTACATTCAGATCATTGTCCACAGAATAGTCAGGAAAAGGTAGATTTTAGCTGTACAGCTCTTGCAAGTTGTAATACAGGACGGCACACTGGAGAGAGGTTGGAAAGGATTCTGAGAGCCAGTCCACCACGGGAAGAGGCTTATGGGGGTGGGGCGGGGCAAGGCTTCCCTTTGCCAGGCCTTGAGTGACACTTATCTCCTGGGACTAGGGGAAGGTCAAGTCCACTGGAGACAGGAGGAAGGTCAAGTCTACCAGTAGCCTGGGGACCAACAGTCCAGAGGAAGTTTAGGTTATAGTATAGTCATTATACTGTTACTAGAAGGTGAGGTAACAGATGCTGGGTGACAAAACCAAAAAATGTCCCCTGCAAGGTATATGAAGCTTCATCACTTACAAGCACCTTCATGTACACTAATTCATTTGATTCTCACCAAACCCCACGAAGAAGGAAGGTCAAACCCCATGAAGGAGGAAGGAGGAAGGTCAAATAGTGTCATTCCCATGTTACAGATGAGGAAGTCCAGACTCAGAGGTAAGAGCTCACCCAGGTGAATCCCTTACAGCTGGTGAGGGGCAGAGCTTAGATTCAGACCCAGTCTCCTGACTTAAATCCTGTTTCCTTGGGCTGGATCAGAATGAGAAGAAACTTCTTTCTGAAACAAAGTTGCTGGAGCCCAGCCCTTCTGTGCAGAGTCTTGTGCCAGGGGAAAGCAGTTTCCCATGTTCTGGAAGCTACGGTCAGACTGGAGTACGGGTGGTGGAGGACTCTTGCGCAAGAGCAGGGGTGGGACACAGGCACGAGCACTTGGGTGCTTTGCCTTCTCATCATCTGGTCTTTATGTGAAGAATAAAGGAGGAGTTTCACATTTGTTTGTTTAATGACGAGTGTTCCAAGATGCTACAGTATCATTATAAATTATAAATTCAGGGCAGGGATGGGCCATTTCTCCCAAACAGCAATATTTTTAGCATTAGCCATTCTCACGTAAATGCAAAATCTTCTTTGATAAGAGATCAAAGCAGATCCCTCCTTCCAGCTTTCCCTGTGGGCTGCAAAGTGACTGGATTTGCATAAACCAGATTACAGCCACACAGAGCTGTTAGCAGCATTACAGATGCCTCCTGCTGTCAGCACCCAGGAAAGCCCACACTTCCCCAGAGAGGAAAGCGACGCTCTGGGGGAGCTGCTTCTCCGTCAGGTTCTCGAAGGCTCAGGCCTCTACAGTGACAGAGATCTCAACCCCATACCACATGGCCTCCTGGGGCACCGCATCTAAAAGATGGGGATTTGGCCTGGGCCAGTGGGGAAATGTGAATTTGGGAGCACGTTCTTGGGAAAGAAGAGGAAGCATCAGGGCCCATCTCTGGGAAGTGCTGCCTCTAGCTCAGACTGGGCCCTGACAGCCGTCTGTGCAGATGGCTTCACTTCACTGGGCAGTGAGGCCATATCACATTTGGGATCAAGGAGGATCTCCCTTTTCATGCATGTGGTTGGGTCAACAGACTCTTAGAATTCTCACCACCCTCCTGCAGAGAAGGCCTTCGAGAGGAGCCGGTCCCTACCGAGGTCCTGGCCAAGAAGGGTCAGGTTGGCTCAGTCTTCATGTCATCCACACCAGGACCCGGAGAGGCCTTTATAGCACTCTGCACAGAGAGCTGTTTTTTTTTTTTTTTTTAATTTTTATTTATTTATTTATTTATTTCCTATTGCTTCATTTTACCAAAGTTAAGGAGACACTTTGGTTATGGGCTGAATTGTGTCCCCCCAAAATTCCTATGTTGAAGCCCTAACTCCCCAGTACCTCAGAATGTGACTGTATCTGGAGACAGAGCCTTCAAGGAGGTGATGAAAGTAGGTCATATGGGTGGGGCCTAAGACAATATGACTGGTGTCCTTAAAAAGAGATTAGGACACAGACGCTCAGAGAGGGAAGACCATGTGAAGACATAGGAAGAAGACGGCCAAGAAGAGAGGCAGGCCACAGAAGAAACCAACTCTTCTGATACCTTGAGCTTGGACTTCTAGCCTCCAGAATTGTAAGAAAAGAAATTTCTGTCGCTTAAGTCACCCAATCTGCAGTACTCTCTTATGACAGCCCTAGCAAACTAATACATCTGCCCTCAAGAGCAACTGCAAGCATGATTTCTTGCCCCTGCTCTCTAGCCCTTTTTCTGAATAGAACTGCTAATAATTTGCCCTCTGGATCCAGAGATGGCAATGAGGCCATCCCCCAGAGGCATGAGCTTGGAGTCCCTTCTCACTGACTGTGGTATCATCCACATGTGTTCTCTCTCTCTCTTTCTAATCTTTCTAGTTCTGAGGACTTGCAGAGGCTTACCAGGTGCTTCTGGCTGGGGAACAGTCTGTGGAGGGGAACAGAGGGGAGGAGAGGACCCACATGTACAACCTACCTTCTCGGTCCCCTCCATTCTAGCTAACCGACTCACCAGATCTTACAACTCTTCCCTGCATCACGGGTTTAATCCAGTGGGCATCACCTTCCCAAGTGTATTTCCAGCAACACCAGCACAGCACACAGACACATGCTTGCCTGCAGCTTGTGTTTTTCAGACAGGGCCTGTGCCTCGTCCATGCAGGCATGATGAGGCTAATCACAGTCCTAAGTCTGAGCTGCTGAGACGTTGTTGATGATGACCATTGGCGAACCAGCCACTTGCTCACGGGCCTTCACAGTATAGCCATTGTTCTGGTTATCGTATTTATTTATAAGCATAGTGAAATCTTGGGAGAAAAAGGAGTAACCACACCACTAACAGTGTACAATGCAGATCACCTCTTCCCAAGTGGAAGTCCTGTGGCACCCATTGATCCATCCCAGGCTTTTCATCTGCACTGTCTCCTGTCTCCTTACCAAGCTCCCCTGTGTGGGCAGCTCTCCTCGGGACCATCTTTGTCCTCCCCACCACGCCCAGCACAAGTCCTGGCATGAATTGGTGCTCAATTCATATTTTCCGGAGGAATAAATTATGCTCATAATTTAGATTCATTTGCAAATAAATAGCAATTTTCATTTCAAAGTATTTCTCCTTTATCATCCTTTCTGTAACCATCATTGCAGTCAGGGAAACAGAGATACAAAAGAGTATTTGGGATTTAGAGGAACCTCTACTCCTATTTTCCAAACATAATTGTCCCTTCCTTCTCCCCATATCTGATACTAGTAAGATGAGACTTTTCCCAAATAATTGGCCCAACATCTTCCATGGTGCCTGGACTGGAGTAGGCATTCAGGAAATATCTGTTGAATGAATGGATGAGCGAGTGAGTAAACGCTCATTTAGGGTAAAGGACAAATGTTCTTATTTAACACTCAGCCACCCAGTAACTCCAAGTTTCTTAAAACTCCTTCTCACGTTCAGGCCTCACAGCCTCCACTTAGCACATTGTTTCAGAAATGTTTTCGCCAAGTGCCCCTATCTCAGAAGAAGACACACTCTTGGTGATCTGGCCCAGATTCCAGAGTGTCCCACAGCACGGAAGCTTCCTCCGAGTCCTCCTGCTGGACCTTCACAACGTGCGTGGGTGGTGTATCCTCCTCCATAACACCGCGGTGTTTGTATCTATGTTAAAGTATTTTGAATCACTCATAGCTGAGTATGACTGATGCTCCATGAAAACGTGTCCTGTCTATTGCAGCTTCCATTGCCTCTGGCACAATACCATGTCCCCTCAGGCGTTTGTGCACCCCTGAGTGCCCAGCAGATGCTGAAGCCAGGGAAGCCTAAGTCAATCCACTGAGCTTAGGAGGAAAATGTTAGAACTCCCCTTATACGGATTTTTAATGTTACCATGGGATGTCAGAGGGTGGCACTATCCTGCCTTAAGCCTGTCTGGGAGGAGCCAGTGGACAGTGTGGTCCTGGGGCTGGGGCTTGGGGTGGAGCAGGACTGCTGCCCGGTGCTCAGAGGCCCCTCAGAGCGGCTGGTGGTTAGCCCACCTCACTCCTGCTCTTGCATTAACACCCCCCACCCCAGGCTGGGGGCAGCTGGGAAAAGCCCCCTTCTCTAAGGGCACTAGGAGCTGATAAACCTGGCTTGTTTGTGATATCTAGAGGTCACTGAAGAAGGCAGCTGACTGGCAAGGGTGTGCATGAGGGTGGGAAGAGTTTAATCTTAAATTGGGTACATCAACAGTTGCATTTTTAGCTCAATATCAGCAAGAGCCTGCAGGCACAACATTCCCTGTGGGAGCATTCCCAGGACAGACAAATCCAGGTGGGCTGTGGTAGAGAAGGCACTGACAGGAAGGAGGGCTCGTCCGGAGCGGTGCACACATCCACTCATGCGCACATATACACAGACACACAAACACACACACATGCATGCAGGCACATAGACATGCAAACACACACATATGCACATGCACACATGCACATACAGACACAGACACATAGACACATGCACACACAGACATGCACATATGGACACACAGACGCAGACACGTACACACGTACACAGACACATGAACATGTTTATACAAACACACAGACACATGTACATACATACACACATGCACAGAGACACACACCTGCACACACACACTCACCTGCACACATACAAACATCTGCACACACACATGCACATACACACACCTGTACAGAGACGCACATGAAGAGCAGAGTTAGGGAGTCCAGGGAGCTTTGCAAGTCCTCCAGCATCAGTGGGTGTCAGTTGCCTGGTCTGGGCATATGGTGTGGAGTAGGCAAGTTTTAACATGAGTTTGAAGGAGGAGGATACAAAGCACAGAGGTTACACAAGAATAAATGATACAACTGTAAAGAAGCATCAGTGAAAATTAAGAAAAAATATAGATCATTAATTCATGTAAAAGAAACCTGTTAAGTGGGATGAGGAAGTGGAGATGACAATTCTAGACAGCTGTCTTAAGCCCACATCCAATATGAGTATGGAAGCCATCCAGGTGGTAGAGATGGCGAGCGCAGCGGACACATCCACGTGGAGGAAATGGTGAGGGCATGATTTAAGGGAGGTGTGGCACATTGAAGGATGTGCCTGCAGCTCCATCTGGCTGGAGCATGGGCATGAAAGGGCGCAGGCCCAAGAGCTGGGTGGAGAGAGAAGCTGGGGCAAAGCATACGAAAGGTCTCCATCCCAGGAAGCTCAGCTACCTTCACAAAATACCAGACCACGTGGCATAACAACATAATTAAGCAACATTTATTTTCCCACAGCTCTGGAGGCTCAAAGTCCAAGATTCAGGGACTGGTAGGGTTGTTTTTTCCTGAAGCCATACTCCTTGGTTTGCAAAGGGCCACCTTCTTGCTGTGTCCTCTGTGCAGAACACACTGTTGGCGTCTCACCCTCTTCTTATAAGGACACCCATCCTATCAGATTGGGACCCACCCATCTCACCATGTTTAACCTTAATGCCCTCCTGAAAGGCCCCATGTCTAAAAACAGTCACATTGGGGGTTAGGAACTCAACATATGAATTTGGGGGGACACAATTCAAGCTGCACTCAGGAGTTGAGATTTTATCCCTTGAGTTTTACTCAGCAGAGTAACAGATTTGACAGGTCTGTTACTTGCTCTGGTGGCAATGTGGATTCTTAATTAGAGAGGAGGGAACCAGAGCCGAGAGCCTAGTTCAGAAGTCACGACTGCATCAGCAGTGATGCAGATTGAAGGTGATGGTGGTCTCAACTGGACAACGGCAGTGGGAATGGAGAGAATTGAGAGATGTTAGGGAGGCAGTCATTGGCTTAGGGGAAAGGGAGTGGGAGGCCTTCTAGTGGAGGCAGCTACTCTTCACTGACAGGGCAGTGGCCAGTGAGGGGTGCCTTTAAGGGGCAGCTGGTGAGCGACTGGAGTTGAGGTTCTGGTGCGGCAGAGGGAATGGGAGATGAGCGCTAATGGACCCACCAAGAAGGCTGGCAGTGAGTTTAGTGTGCTTGGTTTCAATGGAGGGGCACTGCGCAAGCCTGGGGGATGTCTCAACTTCTCCCTGCAAAGACACAAGCCCAAGGTCACGACCTCTGCACTAGTGACCCATTCACAAAAATAAGTGATTGACAGGGAATTGGCAATGCAAATCCAGAAAAGAGCAAGGAATCAAGACATGCACATGCAGAAAAGAACACTTAGAAAGTGAATACAAGATGAGGAGATGGAGACAATTACAGGCACTTTCAAAAAGCTGTCAGCAAGGAGGAGAACAAGGGGTTGAAGGTCTTTTTATCGAGTTTTGTTTGATCTTTCACGAGGAGAGACACATTTGCCTGATGGTCGCAAGAGGTTGGTAGAGAAGGAGAGGCTGAAGGTGCACGGGAGAGGTGGCCCTGGGGAGAGTCTCCCAGTGGTTTTTTTTTTTAAATTTTATTTTACTTTAAGTTCTGGGATACATGTGCAGAATGTGCAGGTTTGTTACATAGGTAAATGTGTGCCACGGTTGTTTCCTGCATCTATCAATCGGTCACCTAGGTATTAAGCTAGTGTGCATTAGCTATTTGTCCTGATGCTCTCCCTCCCCTTGCCACGCCCCCCTAACAGGCCCCGGTATGTGTTGTTCCCCTCCCTGTGTCCATGTGTTCTCATTGTTCAGCTCCTACTTATGAGTGGCAACATGCAGTCTTTGGTTTTCTGTTCCTGTGTTATTTTGCTGAGGTTGATGGCTTCCAGCTTCATCCATGTCCCTGCAAAGGACATGATCTCATTCTTTTTTATGGTTGCATAGTATATTCCATGGTGTGTAGGTACCACATTTTCTTTATTCCAAGTGGTTTTGGCCTTGGGAGGTGAGCGAATTCTCATCTGCTGCTTCCACCTTCTTTGTGACAAGATGTGCCACTTTGGAGCCACACCTCTTGTTTTTATGTGGAGGAATTTCAGTAGGCCCACCTCCCCTGGCTCTCTCCCCACCCAGCCCTCCCTCTCCCTGTGGTCAGTGTTGGCTCCTGGATGGAGAATCTGGGAGAAGGAGCTAAAGAAGCTCACCTGGACCCAGGCTTGCTCGCCCCTGCTGAGCCCTGTACGTGCTCCCTTCTTTGCATGGCCCATGTTCTCAGTGACTGGTTCCGAGGTGCCTGGTGGGTATACAACCGGGTGTGTGGGAATACTGACTCTTCATGGATCCTCAGACAGGAGGCTGGAGGAGCATGTAGGCAATGAGAGTAAAATGCCTTTTAGACTCTGCTTTGCAAAGCCGTGCCTTGGAGGGCAGGATTCTGGAACTCAACCTTTCTCTCCCCTTTTGATCAAGCAGCTCAACCCTTATGCCCCTCTTTTGTTTCTGCTTCCTGGTAACATTTCTTTTGAAGAAAGTTTTCTTGTGGTTAAAAAAAAAAACTTTTAAAGAAAACCTACAAATCTAGTGCAACTGCCTCATTTTTCAGATAAGGAGGCCCAGAGAGTCAACTCTTTCACCTTTCTAGATTTCAGTTTTGATTTGCGAATTGACTATTTTTCTTAAATTGGAGCATATTTTTTATCCAAGTTCTGAACTGGAACCAAAAGAATCACCATGAAACACATTTCCTTTGAAAACTGAATTCAGGTCAGTGACATTGGCGATAGCCAGGCCAGCAGCGGGGGACGAGGAGACCCATGTGTGAAGCTGCTCCTTTCCCTCCGAGTCAAGTGCATGCAGCCGGACCAGAAGTTGGTGCTTGCAGATGTGCAAAGTAACCCGGGAGCTCCTGATTTCTGGCATTTTACATAGGTCCAGGGTTCACATGTAGTGGGGAAGATGTGCCTCTGCCAGGCATCTGCTGGCCACTGAGCAGTCCCCTCCAGAGTCAGAGACTGTGGATCAGGAAAGAGCAGGGAGAGCGAGGTGAGGACACACGGGTTGGCTTTGCTTCTGGCACCCACCTTCTCAGCTGGTGGGTGGCCTGTCTCCCTGTCTTAGCTTAGGCTGCCATAGCAAAATCCCACAGACTGGAGGCGCTTAAACAACAGTTCTGGACGCTGGAATTCCAAGATCAAGGTGTCATCGGGGTTGGTTTCTCCTGAGGCCTCTCTCCTTGGCTTGCAGATGGTCATGCTAGAATTAGGGCTTCAGTGTATGACTCTGGGGAGGACATGATTCAGTCTATAAAACTCCCTTAACTCTCTGAAGTGAAGCTGTTTTGGTCGGAGGCTTATCCTCTCCCACATCTCTTCCTGTTACCTGAATCAGGCCTGGCACAGTTCTCAGGACCTCTTTCAACAGCCCCTGGCATGGCCTGGGAATAGATGTATTCTGCTCTTTAAGGTCCGAAATCCTCAAAACCCAGCTGAGTGCTGGGAAAAGTACCCTTCTCTAATATGACACAAATGGTTTAGGTTAACTTGGCCCAAACTCTTAATTCTACAGCCTTCCTACAATTTCCTACTTTTTTGTCACCAGCTTCTCTCTGACTCCTTGCTAAGTTCCTCAGGCCTGCTGGCCTCAGACCAGCTACAGAAGTCCATCCTTTTACAGTCTCCACACACTCACAAGCAGCATTTTCCCTGGTCACTTAACTTCCGGATGGTTTCCACGTGCAACAGCCTTCTGCGACCTCCTCCTGACCCTCAGCCCTTCATCTTCCCCAGAGCTGGGGCTCCCCTGTTTATTTGGCCCCTGGGAAGTGTGGCCCAGCTCTCGTGTGCAGCTGATGGTGTGCTGCCCTGCTCAGCTCCCCTTCAGGACCGAGGAGACCATCTTCTATCTGCATGGGATGTTGCCCCCAGAAGCTCTCACAGCTGAGCCCTTCCCCAGGAACTGCCCCAGACTGAAGGGAGCTGCCTCACCAACAGGGCATCCTACACCCAGTGACTTCTCCATGGGAGGTGGGGTACAAAGCGTAGCCCTTATGCCTCCCTTTGGGGCAATGTGAAAGGCCACCCCAGTTCCAGTTTCCCATGGAACTGGCTGATGACTGTGCTGCCACTTCCCCCTCTGCTCAATGTCCTGTTGCCTCTCTACGCTCACAAGTGCTGACCCTGAGAACCTTCCCTGGTAAACTTCTTGCATGCCAATCTCCCTCTGTGAGACCATCTCTGGAAAACCTGGGTCTGGCTGCCCCCGGGGGCAGCCCCATCATGGTAATCTGCATTTCCCCAGCCTCCCCCAGAGTCCTAGCAAGTCAAATTCTCTCCATCTTTTGTCATCATCCCCTTTCTATTGACAGATAAATGAAGGCTTGGAAGGGAGGAGACATAACAGGACCAACCTCACCTTGCACTGGTGGCAGAGCCAGCTGGAAGGGCACGGCTGCTGGGTTATGTGCCACTCCCTGTGGGTTTGGTTATCTAGTTGGCTTACCATGTGGTGCTGTGGGTGCCGGATGGTAAAACTAAGCTGGATAGTCTTGGCTAACAGAGAAGAAAAATCTCTCCATATCCATGCATCCCATCGCTTTGTGCTTCCTCATAGGTGGGTCAGCATCATCAACACTCCCTTGTATAACATCATTCTCTCCCACCCAGAATGCTCAATTTCCTTATCCAGTTGGGTTAGGGTTCTTTTGGTTGCCAGGAACTGAAACCCATTCAGGATCATGAGGTCAGGTGATCTCTGGAAAATCCAATAACTCTAAGTACCTGAGTTTAGGAAAGGTTGGGTGTCAGATGGCTTCAGGGATCACTTCTATCTCATCTCCCTTTTGAGAGGTGGTAATTCATGGTGGCTACAAGCAAGCACTTATAAAACTAAAAAAAAAAAAAACTAAATAGGGAGCCAGTCTATTTAGTATACATCATGGCTTTCCCAAGAGTCATTTTGGGCACACTATGTTTATGCCTTGGTTTCTTATCTGTAAAATGAGGATAATCATAGCATCCATGTCATAAGATTGCTATGAGAAATAAATAAGGTAATTTAATGTAAAGGACTTAGGGACTTAGTGCAGCACTTGGCATACAGGAAATGCTAGAGGTGATCGCTCTTTCTCATTCCCGGCTTCTCCACTTTCTTCCCTGTATCTGTTGTTCTCTCTTTCCCAGCTACTTCCTGTGGTTCCCCATGACTTATGCATACACACGACCTGATAACAGCCACTTTATTCTCATCAACTTGATTTTCATCTCAAGGATCCATTCCTGAAGGGCATCTCCTCTCTGTGCCTCTTGGTTTGGGCTTCCTATGAGAACGAATCTGATTGTTCCATATTCATCTTTTTGAGGCCAGTCAGTCAGGTGACATGTCATTGGAAACTTAGGTTGGCCCTCCTCAAATCAGGTGCTCATCTTGGTCCAATCACCCAAGGCCAGGAGATTGGAATAACCGTTGGGATAACCAATTCCCTTTCCACTCAGCAGGCATGTGGGTAGGGGTAGATTGTGAGAAGGGAGAGCAGGTAGAGCAGAAGCCCCTGAGTATGCCTACTGCAGCATCCTGCCAAACAACCTAATCCTGGCTTTCCCTTTGCCATGATTTCTTTCACTGCACATGTTGAAGGAACAATCTTTCTAGATGGCTTTGCTCCCTCTCCGCCTCCTTTACCCCTTGCATCTGACTGCCCGTTCTACACACTCACCTGGGTGTATTTGCTAGAAATCCCCTATTTATGTCCTGGAAACAAAATTCACAGCTGTCTGGTCCTTTTTCTTCCTGACCCCCCACACCATTGAGGCTCCTCTGTGAAATCTCCCCTTGTGGGTTCCATGCTGCTGGCCATCCTTCCACTCCTCCTGCCTCACTCTCCAGCTACTTCAACAGACACTTGCATGTCTAATCTTCTGACATAGATTGTGAGCTTCTAGAAGATAGAAACAATATTCCACAGAGTGATTTAACAGTACTATGTAAGTGACCAATGGCAGGGAGAGGCTTAAAAATATTGCACTGGAGGTGTCATGGCATCCATGTTTCTATACAACGAGGGCTCCTTTTTAAGCTATAACTTCAATCTAAATATGACTAACTCTTTCCATGAAAAAAGGTACAAAGCCCTTACTCCCTTTGGTGCTGTGAATGTTTATCTATCTCCAAAGAGAAAGCACAACAACCATCAGAATATGTAGGTGGCAGAAACAGGAAGCTATAAATACCACAATACCAGATTTTTTAAAAGAGCTTCATGGAGGAAATCAAAGCAGTTTATAGGAAATGATTGGCACTTAGTGTTTCATGGTTGTGTTTCATGCAAAGGCTGAGACATACCACCAGGAATCTGCGGCAAGAGGCAGCAGATGACAGCACAGGAAGCCCAATGGTGACCTAGATCAGACCAGAGCTATGCCTTCAACTAGACAGGTTAAGAGTGATTGCCAGCCACTTTTCTCATGAAGGAGAGACAGAAGCAATTCTTGAAGTCCTTTGTTGTTAAGCACAGAGAATAAAATTTCTCTGGTTCTTACTGCAAAGAATGTTGGCTTAGTCTCAACAAGTACTTGCAGTTGGTTTCACAGATTCCTTGAGGAGTTGTTATAAATCTGGACTGAATGGGCCCAGCCTTCCTATTAGATGCCTGGTATCCTGAGTGGGCAAAAAAAGGTGAACAGTCCCTCAATATAGAATTTAGTCTTACTGAGGTTTCTTCATATCTGTATATGGTAAGTGTGATAGGCACTTGGTAAGCATATGCTCAATGGAGGAGATTCATTCCTCCTGGAACAGATTAGGCTTGATGTCAATTCCTGAAATAAAGGGGCTCCTACTAGGACTAAAGCTAGTTAATGAATTTGATTACTTTGTCAGGAACATGAACTATTCATTACAGGGCATGATTTAAAAACTCAGAGGTCAGTTCCCTCTTTATCAGCATGAGCTGATTCTGAGCTATCCTTAATACAAAATTCAGCCTCTAAACTAGCTATAACAATAAAAGCAATTATACCACACACATCATAACTTTTTTGAAATTTCTCTAAAGATTTTTGGAGGCACAAAGGGAGTTTATGTTGCCCAGTACATGGCATAAATGGCTTTTCAAGAAAAAAATTTCTTTTAGGTACGTCTCTTCTTCCCAGATATCTTCCTGGTCCTCCTATGGAAAATGGGGTGGGTTTGAGGGCAGAGCACCTGCCCTTTTCCACTTTCTACTGGCTTGGGAGACCTGCTGCCACCCCACTTCCACCATGATCTGGCTTCTGCTTACTTTCTATGCTTACTGTCTACCCCTCTTCTTCCTTATGTTACATTCAAGACTTATTAAATCCCTTACAGTTCCCAGAAAATCATGCTGTTCTCTACCCCTCCTTACCCCTCAGCCCCACTCCTGATCTCTGCACTTCTTTTCCTCTTTCTTGAATGTCTTTTGCCCCTGCTGGCCATGCCTGAACTCCTATTCTTTCATAAGTCACTTAACTCGATTTATTTAAGCCTCCCAGTGTTCCAAAGCCCATTGTAATGCATACCTGGTTTGTGGCTCCTGTCAGTGTCTTGCAATGACTGTTTCCATGTCTTTCTCATCTGCTGGAACATGAGCTCTTTTTTTCACTTTATCTCAGAGTTAAGATGATCTATAAATTCTTGAATGACTGAACAAACAAATGCAACCCCTTAGAAACCTAGGCATTACCTGGAAGCATGGAAATTTACCCAAATTGCTTTATGGATGTTTTTGTTGTTCACCTGGTTTAGTCTTTAGGATTATAAAGCCTCCAGAGCTCTGGGTTCGGATTAAAAATCTGCCATGAGCCAGTTTCCCTCAGGGCTGGGCTCCTAAGGGAAAATGCCTCAGAGTGGCTAACTATAGGATCCCTGGGAAACATTTGTCCTTGTGCCTTGAAAAGGCCTTAGCACATGAGTCAGGATACCTTACAATTTCACTTGTACAGTGTTTGCAAAGCACCTTCATATGTGTGTTCATGTGAATTTCGTGATAACACTGTGGGGTAGGCAGGGTAATATCATGGCCTAAACAGATGCAAAAACTCAGGTTCAGAGAAGGTGAGGCACTTGCCCAAGCTCACACAGCTAACAAGAGAGCTGAAAATAGAACACAGGTTAGCTCCTGCTCCACAATACCATGACCTTATCAATGAGTTGACAAGAACCATCCTCCTTGGGTACTTGTCAAGAAAGCTGGGAGGCTGGGAATGGGTGGAGTACACGTGCGTGTGTAGAGTCAGGAGGCCTGACCCAAGCTTGGGAAGTTCTGCAATGGCTTCGGTGTGCCCTGTGGTTATCCCCTTGTATACTGGGTAGGTGACTCTCCTGAGCAGGTGACAGAGCCTGGCAGTGATCCTGCCTCGGATCCAGATAAATATATTTGGATAGAAACTTTGAGCTTGTAGACAGATCAAGATTACTCACATAACCTGATATAAAGCACAGCTTCCATGTTAGTTACCAGATTTTCAAGAATTCTTTCCTTCTATTCTTCTTTCCTTTACCATTTAATTAGAATTGATCATATGCAGCTGAAGAGGAAAACCTGGGTTCTTCTTTGAAGAGCTCATTTTGATGGTTTGGTTCCATCACTGCCTATGCTCATTGGAGAAGCTTATTAGGACCTTCCAGTATTCTGTCACTCAGGCCAAGACTGCCAAAGTTGAATGCACACACCCTGGCCATGATGCAAGGCAATCCACTGGGAAGAGGGAGGAAAATATAAACCTATCAGTTCATCTCAGTTACCTAGTTTCTATTTTGTGTGTTTTATAACACATATGATATATTAATTCAGTAGCACACATAAAGTACATATGCACATATGTATATATGCATAGTATGTCCTCAATTTTATTTTTACTTTACTGATAGGAATTCTTGAAGAAAAGTTTGGAGACCATTGCCTTAGAGAAAGGAAAGCTATGCTCTGAGACAGGAACCACACAGCTCTTTCGCTGTGTTCTCTGCTCAGAAAGCTGCGGGGTCTTCACAATGGCCATTGTCATGGCTTGATTCTTTTGGCCAACATGGTTGCCTTAGAAGGCACAAGGCACACACTTCCCCTACCACCCCCACCCTTCACCCCCTTCAGGATCCCCTGGACATTTGGGAAGAGCCAGGAAACCAAGAGAAATGGAGAAGGAAATGGTCTCTTCTTGCCTTTGCTGACTCTTGCCTAGACAGACAGCTTGTCCAGAAGCAGCCCAGTGCATCTCTTCATTCCAATTCTTGCATGCTTTTTTCTCCCAGCTCTGGTGAATGTTTGCTTCCCACTTTGCCAAATAAACCAGAACAGTGACAATTAGCCTGAAATCACAAGCTCCTGACCTCCATGCTTATTTAGGAATTCAAAGGAATCCACCGATTCTAAATAATCCTGATTTGATTGGAAAAGGGAGACAGAGTCTGTAAAAGGTCACAGGAGATTTTCCCTAAGGTTATCTCCCTGACCACCAAAGTTATTTAAGATTAACTTGGCAGGGAAAGCTGTGTTCTAGGGGGACCTGGTCACAGTTCAGGGACCAAAGCCTCAGGCCACCAGTCCTTCTGGCTGTGTTCCTCATACACAGTGTTCTGCAGTGGGAGCTGGAAGGACAGGAAACCCCACAGAGGCTCTGCTAAAACCCTCACAGAGGCTCAGCTAAACCTACCCCCTCTACCGGTGCTGAACACATTCTGCCCCCATCTTTTAGCAAGATATGCCCAAGTCTTCAGTCTGGAAAAGTCTAGGTACAGAATTTAGACATGAACTTCCAATTAAGAAATAAATAATCATCCTTAATAGCACTTAAAAATACTACCACTTACAATATTAGTGCTTTCTTCTCCCCTTTTAAAAGCATTCTTCCATGTATTATCTCTTTTCATTTTTATGGTAGTCTTTTGAGTACATCTAATCCTAAGATAGTTATGAACACCCTCTTACACCTACTCTCTTACTCCCAAATCTTCTGGGAACTTCCTGACTCTTGATTGGTTCAAAATCTTACTCCTCTCAAGAGTATCCATGTTTAAATTAAAAGAAGAGAACTACATGGTTAAATGTGAACAGCAGGACCCTCTTAAGTGACCACTGCACGGAAGGCTGGTTCTCTAACATACATGAGGGCTGCATCACTCCCATAAACTGAGTGAGGCTCAGCCTCTAATATTAACAGTAGTAACAATAACCTAACTTACATAGCACTTACCATAGAGGACACCCTTCTAAGTGTTTCATCTGTATTCATTTAGGTAATCCTCACATAATTTTATGAGGTAGGTTTCTTATCATCCCAATTTTTTAGGTTAGTAAAACTAAGGCGGGGGAATTTGCCTAAGGTCACAGAGCTCCTGAAATGACCGGATCCACATCCTGGGAGTCTGGCTCCAGGATCTTTTTAGTGATTTGTACCAAATCATAGATCACAGAGCCAGTCAGTGCCAAGATCGAAGCCCCCAAATTTCAGTCTCTCAGGTTAAAAATATACTTTTCCCTGTACTGAACTCTGCATTCCCTGATTGGACTGATTTTAGGTTGTTTATACTTTCGAGTCCTGAGCTATTTATTTACAGAGCTGGTTCCAGCTTCGCCCAGGCTGAAGGTTAGAAGTTCTTGAATTATACGATTCTGACTCTGCCCTGATCCACTTCTGTGTGTGGCATCATGGACGGTGGAATTCATCTAGGCAACACTCTCAGTAGTAGATCCAGAAACCTTGGGCTCTAAGGGGAGAACCAGAAAAGGTGGCCACAATGCTGTTCCCTTTCAGCAGAACTTTCCTAGACAAGTAAACCCCTCTCCTACCTGTAAAGGTGTCCCAGGAAGGCCAGGCGTGGTGGCTCATGCCTGCAATCCCAGCACTTCGAGAGGCCAAGGCAGGTGGATCATTTGAGGTCTGGAGTTCGAGACCAGCCTGGTCAACGTGGCGAAATCCTGTCTCTACTAAAAATAAAAAATTAGCTGGGGGTGGTGGCACGCGCCTGTAATCCCAGCAACTTAGGAGGCTGAGGCAGGAGAATTGCTTGAGCCTGGGAGGCAGAGGTTGTGGTGAGTTGATATTCCGCCACTGCACTCCAGTCTGGGTGAGAGAGTGTGACCCTGTCTCAAGAAAAAAAAAAAAGGTGTCCCAGGAAGATACAGTCGATACAGTCACTCTAGACAGATCTCCTCCTTATGTTTGACAACACCTTTCCCCTTTGCTAACCTAAAACTTTCATACTGCAGTTTAATAATAAATGTTCCCTGAATGCCTGGCATGTGCCAGGCATGAAGAGCTTTATCAAATCTACATTATCTCATTCAATCTTTAATCAATCCCACGAGGAAAGTGCTGTTATCACCCACTCTTTTGTCAAAAGCTAAGTATAGATAGGTTAAGTAACTTGCCCAAAATCAAACAACTAGTTAGTGGCACAGTCTAGATTTGAATGTATCTAGATTGGGGGACCCTTCAGGGCGCAGTCTGTAACTGTTCCAATGGGTTGCCCCCAGTTGAGGGTTCATTTTCTGTGTACAGGGACCTGTGCTGGAGGAAGGGGCTATTGGCTGGCCTCAGGATCGTAGGATTGGGTGCCTGTTATTGCACTGCCTCTGTTTGTTTTTTAAAAAATAGATAATTAACTTTAAAAAGCCCTCAAGTTCACTGTTATATTGAGTGTAGGAGGTGACTAAGGGCGGCTGGGGATACTCTGAAGAGCATGTACATAATCACAGGCTGGAGTGGATGATGAAAGGCCACCGTGGTCTCCCCTGCTGTGTGGCAGAGATCCCGGTAGCCAGATGGCCCTGTTTTGGGCGCTGACCACCTGTGGTCCTGATTTCCTTTGCTTTCATAATCCTCAGGGCTCACCTGGTACCTCTGGCATCCTGAGTTTTCCACTGCAGCTTCCTGTGTCCTGGGGGAGGCGTGTAAGAAACCAAAGGTCCATACCTGACCTGCACTTACCTGTGCGCTCTGCTTGGCGGGCCTTGCTTCCTACCATGTTAGCAAAACGTCCTAGGATTTTAAATGTTCCTGACTTTTAATCACCGAAGTAGGAACATTATTGCTTTCCCATTTGTGTAGAAGAAGTAGGGAATAATGTTGGCAGTAAGTGTAAGTGTACTGGAGAACATTTCTTCATGACTACTAACATGAATTTACATATATATATTTACATTGACCTCAAGACTGAGAAGGAAATTGCTTATATGAAGAATTTTGCTGGGTCTGAATTGTTATTTTAATTGTCAAGGAAGGATGTGCTTTTTGCAATGCTGTGCTGAAATGAGATATATGTATTGTGTGCTTTTCAGTCTTACCCCTCTCCAATTGTCCATTCTTAACACTGCAGCCAGAATAAATATTTCTAAAACACAAACCTGATCCTATCACCCCCTCCTTAAAAACCAACAATAATTCCCCATTACTGCCATGTTAAGGGCAAAATCTTGAGAAGACTTGCCTTGGCCTCCGCGGCTCTGCAGCCATTCTTCTCTCCTGCTTCTTCTGACCTTCAAGCCTTTCCATGTGCCATTCTCTCTGCCTCAAACACACTGTCCTTCACCCTCCCTGATGCCACACATTCTTCCTTTGCCTATTTTCTATTCATCTTTCTCTGATCCTTGTTCAAACCCCCATCCCTATTAAACGAAGTCAGTAGCCCTGACATGTGCTCCCCTATCCCTTATCATCCTTTCTTTTACTTACATGTTTGGCCATCTCCTTCGTTAGCTCTGTAAGGGCAGAGAATGGGCTTGTCTTATTCGTCATTGTATCCCCACGGCTACGCACAGACTGTGCACACACATAGTGGCACTCAGTAAGAATGTATTCAATGAATAAATATATCCATGATACCACCAAGCTCTAAGGAACTGCTTCTGTCAGAACTTATAAGAGGATTGCACAAACACTGACACCTGAACTAGGCTGCTGTAGAAAGCTGTTAAAATATATACATAACATGCTCCCCTTAGCCCAGTTCCTCATTTCGGCCTAATGGAGGCAGCTACACTATCATCTGGAAGTCTTCCATTACCTGAAGCTCCTTGTATAACGCAAAGAGAACTATCAGTTTTCTTGCAAACTCTGAGCCATGAGCATTTAGGTATCTCTACTAAACTACTATTTGAGCGTCCTCAAAACATGATCATCCCGGGTCTTAGGATCGAAAGTGTCAAAGGTGTTCAAAGTAAATCTGACATTAGTGTATTTACTCCTTTATCCACAGACTGAGAAGCACTCATTTGGTATGGATTTTGGCTGCTTCTAGGAATCAGGTTCCTGTTGATTATTGCATGCAAATATGCCCATATTTCACACAGACATAATAAGCCTAACTGATTCCATCAAGGCAGTGGTTTTCAAATCTCATTTTGCCCTCCCTCCCCTATCCCACCTCCATCTCTCACCCTGGGAGTAATGTCTGGAGTTATTTTCGATTGTCACAATTTAGGAGGAGGCTCTACTGGCATCTAGTGAGTAGAGGCCACGGATGCTGCCAAATATCCAATAATGCATGGGCCAGCCTCCAGAACAAAAAATGACCTGGCCCAAAACATCAACAGTACCTAAGCTGGGAAGCCTAGGTTGCCCAAGTCAATAGCCCAAGGATGAGGCAACACTCTGTAGCCACCTTTGCTCACAAAAGCTAGACCCTATTCATCTGTGTGGTGCTTTCTAAGACACATGGAAACAAAGACAAGAATAAGTTAAGAAGCAGTAAGAGGCTGGGCTTTTCCCCTGCCTAATGTTAGAATGAAACATGTGTAGCTTGTCTCTCAAAAAGAATAATTCAGTTGGAGAGTTTTCCTAGGTAGATCCCTGTCGTGGATCAATTAATCTCCTAGGAAATCTCATAATGCAAAACATTCGGCATGGAACTGAACAGATTCTTGGGTGTGGAAAGGAATTTTGGTAAAATCAAAACCATATTTGTTTTTCATATTGAAAATGTTCAAGTTGTTTTCTTTTCCTATTAGTATAACCATTTGGACAAAAATATCCATTTGAAATGCAGGTGAAATGTAAACTGCTACACTTCTACATAGACAATCCAGTGTATTTATACTTAATCCATAAAGGCATGATGTTACAAAACACATTTGTATATTATGAAGCCATCTGGCATCAAATTTTCCAATTTATAGACAACTTTGTATTTACATAACAAATTATTAAATCAACCATTTTTCCGGTTTATAAAAGGTCACTGAGGTACACACACAGTGTGTATAAATGCAGATAAGGCTGGTAATACATATTTACAGTAGATACAAATTAATCTTTCATATTTGAAGATAATGCTTTTTATATATTTTTTCTATATCAGACTCCCCACTGTTAGCAGGATTTCCCATGCTCGAGTTGTTTATTGCTTTTTGGCTCACTGATTTAATATTCACTTCTGGGTTGTTTACACATATGAATTACTAATGTTCTTATCTCTTTGGCTAATGCAAATGTGATAGAGTGAATGAAAGAAAAAGATGAACTAATTAAATATTACAGTTCTGGCTGGTTGATAATTTTTGTTCATGTCCCCCAAATGAATCAATGCACAACTCATTTGATATACTACATTGAAAAGTCTTGAGTCTTGCATTACACCATTCGGGCATAAATGGGCAAAGTAAATAAGATATCCAATTTTCAGCAAGGTCTAGTATTTTGTCTTTCTTTTCAGAAAGAGCAATGCCACCAACATCTTAAGCATCTTAGATTTTAAAATCTTAATGCATATATGCTTGTGACTTGCAAGGGAACACTGCAAACTGCATGGAAGATTACCAAAGTTAACAACAATGTGCTATCATGGTCTAAAATGAAACATGAGTCACCTCGTAGGATATAAGAATCTTCCTAAAACTTACAGAAAGTGAAATAACTAACTGCCCTTTTCTCTTCCTGCAATTCTGCAGTGTTACGTTCAAATAAGAAGGCTGTGTTTACTTAAAAAACAGGCATAGCAAAAACTCAAAGTCAGGGTCCAAATAAAAGACTAAAAGTGGCCCATGATATCACAAGGGATGAATGTTCTTAAAACATTTTCATTCATAATGGCACTGAAAAGTACAAGCCAAAAATGTTCCTTTAAATAAATAAAAACCCTGGTTTGCTTTTAATGCTACAAACAAGACAAATCACACAAAAGCTGCTCAGTTAATTTTCACTCATTTGAAATAATTTTTAAAACCTTCTTAGAGGTTTAGTTTATTCTCCTTGTGCTTCCTAGGACTGTTAAGGGACACAAAATAAAATTAGATTTCCTTTTCCAGCAGGAACTATTATGTTCTTTAAAGAAGAAAAAATTTTTCATCTGTTTCCATTCTTGGATTTGTTTCTTAAAAAGTTTATTTTAGGGAATAAAAATTTTGGTAACATAGAAGGCCTAGCCTTCATTTAAAAAAATGAATTGGCTTCAATACAAAGACAAAGAAATGGCTCTATGGGCAAAATTGAAGTGCGAGTGACCAATTTTTTAATTGTAAAGTAGGTGCAACATTTAAAAAAATGTTACAGCACTGTATGACCTGTAATGCTAACAATATTTACATTAACTGCTTACACAAAACCATATAACTCTAAGAGAGATGAAAAAAACCCACGTGGACTGAAACTACTACACCTAGCACCCATATCAAAGCCATAGCAACCAGTGAAATCATGGGCACAAACATACTTTACATGGTCTACTTATGTAAAGTATACAATGGGAGGGAAGCACAAACTGAATTAGCTCAAAATACCAAAAAGAAGGCTTGGTCAACACAAACTCAGCCTGAAGACAGAAAAGCAAAGGCTAAAAAATTTACATATCAACACATACACACATACAGACACACCCAGCATACAAACACACATGTCTGTCTGTCTGTGAATAAACAAAAATGTGTAGGAAAAAACAGTAGAAAAACAGGTTGGTGCAAAAAAAATGGACATTAATGGTTTAAACATACTAGCCACATCAACTTTTAACTTATAAACATGTGTCAACTAAACTACACAAAAGATTACTTCATGTGACTGCATGAAGGAACTGGGCAGGCAATCCCACCATTACAAGAGAGACAAAATGAACCTACCCCCAGAACGAAGGGTTCCTACTTTGAGGTCATGAAGCCCAGGGTAGCCAGTTGCATTCCATCAGGCTTGGGGGTAGGTTGAAAGTAGGAACAGAGGGACAGAGAGACACAGGAGACCTAGGGGAATAACTAAGAGCTGTTGCTATCAAAAGTGAGCCCAGGTGGCATGCTCTGTGCTGTGGCCCCAAGAAACCAACTTAAGGAATGACCTTGGTCTCCATTTTCCTGAGTTACTGGAACTCTGCTACATGACAGGACTGAGGAGTTTGGGTGGTGGGTGGGAGAGGAGCAGTAGGAGAGGTGGTGGGCAGTTTGAGGTGCTGAGCCTGCTATTGGAGAATCTCCTAGCAGCCTGAGTGGCAGACTGTTGTGTGAGCCCCAGGCTAGAGGACGAGGCAGTGCTCTCTAGGGGTTTAAGGGTTTGGGGCAGGGACTGGTGGTTCCAAGAATAAAGGGATAATAGATCCCTTCTTTTGACAATCCATCAACTGAAGTCAGGCTGGAAGCCTAAACTTTGCTTAACTGCCTGGAAGATAGGGTAATACCACCACCACAAAAATTGTGAGAAGAAGACGGAAAATTATGTTGTGCTACATTTCTTATTAATTACCTTGTACTTTACAATGGCTCACAGTTTTAGGTTTGTATACTTGTAATGTAGTATTTTCTCTCTACATTTGTTTCACATTTTTTCTTACTTAATATAATATAAATAATTTGGTTAATAGATTTAACCTGCACATTTTTGCCACATTAATATATATAAGAATCTGTTAATGGTATAAATAATTCTTTAAATAAAATAAATCTGATATGTTACACAATACTGATAAAAAAATTACCATTGCTAATAATTCCGTAAGCCACCTTAACTTCTGGGTTAAGTAATACTGATGAATGGATATGAAACTTGCTTTGATGATTCATATTTATATTTGCCACTACAAAAAAATGAATTATTATCAATCTTACCTCTGATAATGGTTGCAAAGTGGGGTTTTTGCCTCCATGTACGGAAATAGAAAGTTTTACCTTGTCAGATATCATTTGCAAAAAAACCCTCAATTCTGAGCACCAGCGGTGGTGCAGTCAGTATAAGCTATCTGCTTCAACAGGTGGCTATCAAATGTTAACTACAGAAATGGCTGAGTAAAATATTCCATCTAAGATTTTTTTTTATAAAACCTATTCTATTTTAAAACTTAGGTAAAAAAAATATGCAACAAATGGTTGCAGTTTCTGAATTCTTAATTTAGACCTGTGAGCCCTCATCCCTTTAGAAATCTGCAAAGTTGCAATTTCCTAGACACCCGAAATTGAGTCCAGTGCTTCCAGGCAAGGTTCATTCCAAACAGACAATATAAATGGACACTCAGTGGTGTGCAGTGTATGTCATAATTCAGATATTACATCATCATGCCTTTTCTCTGCTGTTAAATACAAAAACAGCATCTTTTACATTATCATAGAAAAGCATTTAGGTTGTATTTTTATTTATCACTTTACACTGGTAGTCTCTGGTAGGTGTACTCCATAGAAACCAAAGAATTTTGTACACTATTTCTTTGTACAATAAAAGATAAAGTGTGCATTAGGTACGCTTGTACATGACAATACTGTACAATATTTACATTTCTGATATCACCATGAAATTCTGTATTTTCTATATACAACATTGAAAATTCTTCAGAAACATTTGGACTATTTCTTATAATCACAATTTAGTATTATAGAAAAAGAGTTTCTCAGTAATCTCTTGACCATTGATCACTCTCATCACACAGAGACTTTGATTGGCTTTTCCAGCATTCATTATCCTTCCTGATCAAAAAAATTTTGTATCACTGTTTCTTTTAGCACCCTGTGGTGGTGGTAGCTATCTGCCATAGTCTAAATATTGATATAACTGTGGCTATATCAATACCTATATACAGATACATCTGTGCATGTTCCTTTAATAAACACTGCGCATTAGTGGAGTAGTCTCTGTTATCTGGAGATCTTCCTCCTCTTGGGTTTGGGGGGTCTCATTTGTCTGTCACCCTGTGGGATTTGGTGTACCTGGAAATAAAAAGGTAGAAAAAAAACAACAACAACAGAGGATGAAATCACAAACACCATAAAATTTCTGACAAAGGAGCAGGGTAGGGAATAGACTCTGGCTTTCACTTTCAATTACTGATATCCTGAGGCACTTCAAATGTTTACCAAGACCCCAGATGTCAGTGTGCCCACAGTCACTACAGAGAATGCAGAATGCTAGAAACTGATAAGCAGTGCAACACTCTGCGGGTGCCAATAGACAGTGGAAAACAAAGGATGAACTGGACAAAATCAAGTATGGGAAATGCAATGTGCAGTTGTTACCCCCATTGTCCATTTAAAACAAAAATAAAGCCTTCCCTGTCAGAGACCCTAGATCACCAATTTCACTACAGCCTGGAAGAATGAATAATTACACACCAAACATGCCCCTTTTTTTCCCTCACTTTGTTACCCTACTTATTTTACAATGACTAGGAAGGGTCACAAATTATAATAACATGCACACATAGCTCAGCCCAAGGATGTTTGTTCATAAGAAGAATCAAAATGGAAAAGAGAATACCACTATCATCTGTTGGCAGATCTGAAATTGTGTAGTCTGGGAGGAGCAGTTAATACAACTCACCTTTCTTTATGTGCTAATGCAGGAACTAGCAACATTTAGTGCTGTTCATCAGATTGAGCAGTGGCTGAGCAGCATTAGATAGCAGGTATAATTTGGAGGAGGGAGTGATCAAATTGTCTTGTAGCTATTGGTGGAAAGGAGCAAGGTCCAAGACCTAGGAGAGGAGGGATGAACCCAAGGCAATGGTGTAGCAAATGCTTAATCAGCATTTCGACACAAGTCCATTTTAGCATTTTGCCAGTTTCTGTGGTGTAAAACTTTTACCCTGGCCAACCTTATGTCACAGGACTTAGAATTAGGAAGAGATGAGTACAATCGCCTCTCCGGATCCACTACAAGTTGGCTCAATTACATGCTTAAAAATAATGTTTAGACAGCAGCAAAGGGCAATGCTATCCAGACTCAAATGCAGAATGCTTTTAAAAAATAATATTTAAAAATTTTAAATAATGTTTATGGGTTTTTCAATCTGCCTATTCCTCCTAATCTTCTCCATACACATTTTTTAAAACAACTATTCTGTAGTAAAGAGCCAAAACTTTTTATAACTGAGGAAAGAAACTTTTTATAACTGAGACTGCAAACTAGTAATCTGTGGACCAAATGTGGCTGAAATGGTATTTTGTTTAGCCATATGGCACTTTAATATTTTTTAAAACAGTTGTCAACCCATAAAAATGAGAAAATTTACTTCTAGACTTCTAGTTTTATATGAAAAATGGAAAGATCTTGCAACATGAACACAATTTCCCAGATGTCTAAGATCTGCTGGAGCATGGAAGGAATGCCTTCTGGAGAGAGCACATGACTCCCAGGTTGCCCTGATCCTTATTACTCTCAACTACCTGATTTCCACCAGGACCAAATGTCCCGAGGCAGAGCCTAGAGAGATGATGGCCAAACTCATTTTCTCTTTTTCCTGGGCAGGCACATTCTATGTTCTATTTCCTATTCTACTTGAGTTAAGAAGGCCATATGATTAGGTCAGGTCAGTGGAAAGTCAACAGAATGAGCTTCCAGGTCTGGCTCATAAAACCTATGCTGGCAGTATTCTTAGCACGCTCTTTTCTTTTACCTTCAAGGCAAAATGCAAAGGATATAATGGAGCACTCTGAGGTCCTAAGAGAGGTGGTCACTAGATACAGAAAGAATCTGTGCCCTGGTGTGGAGCAACCCTTCCTCAACCAGCACCAGACTCAAGTGGGTAATGGCTTATACTGTGCTGAGCCTCTAGATTGGTAGCCTACCCTAACCCATGGATCTTCACTGGCATTTCTCATCCATTCCAACTGCTGTCATACCTGGCCCACTTTACTTACTGATATAATTTGCCTGGCCCTAGAAAACATTTGAGTTTATAATCCCCAATCTAGATCTTTCCTATAATTTTATCAGGAAATTTAATGTCTCAGGGCTTCAATTCACCCATCTGCGAAATGATGGTTTGGTTGGATTACAAAATCTCTAAAACCTATACTAATCCCATCATTCAATTGTCATTGGATGGTTTGTTGGGATTCAGATAACCTTGTAACATAAGGTCAAATAAAAGAAATTATTTTTCATGCTAAATAGCCTTAGACAATTCACATTTTTAACAGATTACCAAAATTATATTTTAAGTATTTACATCAGTCAATATGTGAACTGGAGCATAACGATTAAACTTCTCACACTCAATGCTATTATATGCACAGTTCAATAAAAATGGGATATGAGAGGTCTATATACTCTTGATCTTGACCCCACTGTCTTTTTGGTTCAATGGACAGAACAAAGTTTGCATTACTACATATATAAGCAACAGTAATGGCCATGGCCATTCACAGAGTCAAGTGCAGAAAGCTGTGGTTTGAACTTCAATATTTTGCTGCTCATATTTTAAACGAACGTTATGTGGCAAAACAAAATTACTTATCTCAGGAAGAAAGACATAGTTAATGTGGTAGGTTTCTTTTTCTTAAATGACTTTGAATCTTTTCTAATATTTGTCTTTTTTTTCTAGGCTAGTAATTTAGTATTGCTATGTGAGTTGTTTGACAATACTCAAGAGACTTTACCAAAAAGTGTAACACAATTTATTTTCAAAGAAACGTAGTATAATGGAAAAATAAATTAACTTACAGTCCCAGACATTTTGTCCAGTTCACTCATGGCCTCATGAATAGCAGCTTCTAAATGGTTATTTAGCTTTCCACTTCTGGAATTAATGAAAACAACACACCAGATTAAAAAATTAAAGAAACAAAACTCAATTTAATTTCCTAATCAGAAAACAAAAGTACCAATTCCACGAGAGAAAGCCAATTTATACTCGCGTTTGGAAAATTCAGATGACAAAACATCACTCTGGGATTCTTATCACTGAATACTAATGATTAAAGTCACAGAACTACTAAAAAAAGTTGAACAGATTGTGGGGCGGGGAGATGGACTTTTTCCTCTTCCACATGCTTCTTCCACAATCTGGTGATTTGGGAAGAAAGTTGGGCCACGGGTTCCCTCTCCCAGAGACGCCCCTCATGCTCCCTGGCTCCAGCCGGCCCTGTGTTGCTTCTTGTTTCTTTCTCAGTCAGCCTGACTGTGTGATCAGAGGAAGGGCGGAGGGGCTGAACTGCAGGCTCTGGCCACTAGGGAGCTCCCTCTGTCCTCTCTGGAGCGTCCTGGCTCTGGAGTTGAGCAAGTGAAGGCTGAAATGCCGGTGCGTGTTCCGGGGTGGGAAACAGCTTAACTCTGACGCACCTGAGGCTCCGGAGCCTGCCCCCCAGGGCCAAAAGCCAAAATGAGGTAACTATTTGAACAGATAAAGAATGACGGCCTCAGGGTGCCTATCACTTCTCTGACCTTTTCTCTCCACTTAGCATTCCATTACACATGTTTGGCCCGAATAACACACACGGTGCATCTGCCATTTTTGAAGCTTAGATCTATGAAGCTGTTGAACTAAAATCAGGTAAATCCATGCTACCCACCTCTGTGGTTATGTACACTTTGCCCATCCTGACTGTTAACTTGTTTTTCCTCCTTTATGCAATAAATAATTACTCATTTTTTCCAAGTGCTAAGGTGATTCTTTTCATTTACCCTGTCATGACAATTACTAGAAAAGCTGCTGGAGGTAACGTTTTCATAACAGGTGGTTAGCATGGGTTTCCATGAGTTAAGTCCTATCTTAGCATCTACCATGGAGACTGGAAATTTGCAGTCGTGGGAGAGTTTGGCTTACTGTTGTATTTAGTTTGGTTAGCATAGTGTTTTGAAACATTTTTGAACTTTAGTTCAGTTTACCATAGCTTTCCCTAGGTTTTTTCCTCACACACCAGGACTGGACAATGCATACATTGAGTTTCTGTCTACACTTTGAGAACTCCGAGTTTTCCACCCCTGAGTTCTATAGTGCTAGACATACCATAGATGCTCTATGTATTTGCTAAATAAAAATATTTGTCAAAGGTGGCCCAGATGGTCCTATGTTTCAAAAAATATATACGTACTTAGGTCAGTTTAACTGAAGGGAAAAATTAGTGTATTGGTTTTAACCAAATTATAAGGGGAATATGGCATCAACCCCTACCTTTTGCTGCCCTGTAAGCTAGTCTTTAGCTTTTATATTTTTGTCATTTATTTTTAGAAATTTTAAAATGCAGAGGAGTACATAGGATAAAATAAACCTAATATATTCCCCCGCTGGAAGGAAATGTTAATAAATTCCTTTAAGTCTTTTATATTAAAAAAATAAAGCTGGAGTTCCCTGTTACCTATCCTGGTCCCATTTTCCCTCACCTTCCCCCCTCAACTTTTAGTCTGCTTTTATACTTTAATCTAGTATTGTTTTATGTGTGTTTTTTTTTAAACACACACACAAAAGGTGTCATGATATACATACTTCTCTTTTTTCTCCTTATAACTGTTTTAAATACCATCTAGTTTGTATAATCTATTCATTCCTTCTAACTGGTATATAAGAAGTTTTTTTATTATGTATGTACTGTCTTCCTTTTACCTACCCATTCCAGTTTCAAGGGGCCCTGGTCATCTCATGGAGTCAGTCTCAGTTGTTTTCCTAATGAGGTGTCTGCCAAGCAAGCTCCTGGGAGCACTCTGCAAGGCCACCTAGGGTTTGCTGAGGCTGGGCTGGGGCCCCTTTTGCAGGCTGCTTGGCAAGGGTTCTGACAGTATTATCATTGCCACGTTGCCTGACAATATCGCACTGTGTGTAATGTGTTAAATAAATTTATCCTCACTATTTCTTTTGTATGAACATAAGTTTGACGTATTAACAAGTTTTATAAGACATTTATTTATTATAAATTTTGATTAAAATATCTTAGGAGTTTAAAATTGACTATATAAAGTTCCAAATATTTAAAATGAAGTTACAATGTTTTAATGAAAAACCTCCAGAGAACCTTGGTTCTCTCACATTTAATCTTAGTAAAAGAAATACCTGTTATTTATTAAAAAATGTCTATGTGCCAAGAATTTTTTTTTTTTTTTTTTGAGACGGAGTCTTGCTCTGTCGCCCAGGCTGGAGTGCAGTGGCGCAGTCTCGGCTCACTGCAAGCTCCGCCTCCCGGGTTCACGCCATTCTCCTGTCTCAGCCCCCTCGAGTAGCTGGGACTACAGGCACCCGCCACCGCGCCCGGCTAATTTTTTGTATTTTTAGTAGAGACGGGGTTTCACCGTGTTAGCCAGGATGGTCTCGATCTCCTGACCTCGTGATCTGCCCGCCTCGGCCTCCCAAAGTGCTGGGATTACAGGCGTGAGCCACCGCGCCCGGCCCAAGTATTGTATTAAAACTCTATATACATTATCTCATTTAATCCTTACAATAATTTGATGGAATAGGTATTATGACAACTGTTTGTATGTGATACTTCATGACTTTTTAAGAATTGGTGAAATTAATTCTAATTTTGTAATGAAGAAAATGGATATTTGACTATAGTTTTCAAAAGTGATAGTCATGGGTAAAAGATTTTTACCTAACCATGAAAAATTGCAATAACAATTACCATTCAAGCACAAAAACGATTCAGCATTACTTGTTGGAAAAAACAATTTCATGAGTTTTGTCATCTCATTCTTCAAGATATTTAAAATATTTGTAAACACCTTGCATTAATTCAAGCTAAATTAGTATAATGTTTCACCTTTAACACAACTTAGTAGTTAATAGAGGGAGAAATGACTACTTTTGGAAGAGAAAATAAATACATAGATGTGGGGCATGAAATTATTTGTATATATCATGAGATTTGAGAGGTAAAGAGAGACTCTCCCAGATGTCATATCTGCAGACCAGCTACTGGTCAGGTCAGGGAAGAATGAACTTAAAAGAGGAAGAAAAAGCTCTATGAATTCAAGAAATGAACAATTAGTCAAAATTCAGTCTTTCAGTCCAGAGGGCCTCCCTGTGGAGTTTCTTCTACTATTTTCTATTCCCTGCTGACATTTAATAATAAACATTTTTACTAATGGACACTCTAAAACCTACTTGATTAAGTAATAGATGTTCATATAATCACATTTCTAATTATTAATGGAGATAATTGCCACTTCTCAACTTCATTGCCTACACTGTCACACATTATCTTTATCTTCACTAATTTTTTAAAAAGCCAGGTACACCTCTATGAGTAGTACAAGAAATAGAAGGGAAATGAGAAATTGCAAGTTGTTCTACACTGTCAGTTCAGAGTTTAAGTGACTCACTTCATACAGTATGTAACAAATTTGGGTGAGACCTAAAAGTCAAAAACCCTGAGCTCTGAAACTGAATCCATGGGGAATGTATGCAGATCTCAGGAAATTTAACATGGTAAGTATCATTCCTTGGTTTTAAAGTGAAAATGTGATTTACTTAATCACTTTATTGTTTTCCAGCTTCACAAAAAATCAGGTTTCCCAAGAAATGTATACGTACATATAGACAGAAGATTTGCTCCTCGCTTAAATGAAAACTATAACATATGTAAAAGCTGTGGAATTTTTCTTTAATAAAGCTATTTCTGCTTTTAAGTACAAAATTGCCCTAAGTAATGTATTAAATAAATATGTTACTACTAGGATATAATTAGAACATATGTTTAAAGATATTTATTTGTTGTACAGTTTGATTGAGGATACTGAGGATTAAAATGACTATATAAAATACCAAACATCTAATATGGTGGTAGAATGTTTCAACTGGCAAAAATAACAGATAATTTTCTTTCTTTCACCTGTATCTTTATAAGAAAAATAGCTATTTACTAAATGCCATGTGCCAAGTACTGTGCTGAGGCTCTCTCTATATTATCTATGTTATAACAATCCTAAAATAGGATTATGCCCATTTTAGAAATGAAGAATTTAGGCCCAGGGAGATTACGAACACACAGCTATGAAGTGGTAGAAACAGGACTTGAGTCCAGGTGAAAAACCAACCTCTTAATTATCTTGCTCCAAATGACACCTTCCTTTTTCAGCCTTTTCCTCTTTTCTTCTTCCCCTCAGTCTACAAAAGTAGTCAAATCTTTGTCATTTTAAAAATTCTTTCTTCGTTATTTTTCAGGAATTTTTCACATTATGGGTAGAAAGAAGAGTAAATAATCTACATCTCCTCTCCCTATTTCCTTATTCTTATTTAATAGCCATTTTGTGTGTATACCCATCACTCTACTGGAAACTGTTCTCACTGAAGTTTACCAGTGACCTTCAAATTGCCCAATCTGATGGGGATTTTTCAGTTCTTGTCTTACTGCACCTCTGTTGATCATTTTATCAGTCTTTGACTTCTGAGACTCTGTCTACTTTCCCTGATTCTCCTCCTCCTCACTGACCATTCTTCCCATCTTCTTCATTCTATTGCATGTTCAATCCTTAGCCTACTATTCTTCAAATTGGTCAAAGTATCTTTGTGTGACTGCAGTCATTTGTATACTGTCAAATACCACTTCTCCCCAGTTTCAGACACGTATGTCCAGCCTATCCTACAGGCACCCCAAACTGTACTGAACAGCTTCCCCCTGTAACCTCCACTTCAGTCAGTGTTTCTACAACCTACCAAGTCTCCCAAGCTGAAAACCTGAGAGCTGTCCTTGATTTTGTTCCCTTTCCTTTACATTCTGATCAATCACCCCATGTTCTGTCTATTTTACCTCCTAAGTATTTCTTGACCACATTCCTTCTTTTCCATCCTCATCCCCAACTCCACCAGCTCCTGGTTTGGGTCCTCGTTCTCCCTTGTATTCTGCCATGGCTCCTGAACAATCTCTTCATCTTCAATATTGTTGCCTTAAAATTGTCCTTGTACACGGCCATACCTAAGGTGAAAAATCTGACCACCTGCCCCCTTTAGGCACTTCCAAAACAATAAAACATCCTATTGGTCCTTACTAGGCCCTTCATGATCTGGTTCCCGCTTATACCTCTTATATCTTCCCATCCGATACTTTACAGTCCCCCAAATCCAACTGCTGCTCTCATCTAAACACTATCCCACCCCATCTTCGTCTTTGTTTCCTTTGTGTGGCTGATGCCTATGTAGTGTTTAAGGCTTGGCCCACATATCTTCTCCTCTAGGAACCCTTCCTTTACCTGCCTTTTCCCTGTGACCCAAAAATATAGTATATATATTGCTGTTGTTGCAATTTTGACATTTGAATTACTTGTTTCTGCATCTGTCTCTTTCACTAAACAGTGAGCTTCAGGGACTGTAGCACTGTTCCTGGCACAGATTTTTTTTGCTAAATTTGTCTTCTTAAATTGGGAATAAATGCATAAATTAAAAAATGATTTGGTTCAACATATAATTTATCAGTTGTGGGACTTTCAACTAATTATTTAAAGTGTTTGAGTCTGAGTGTCCGCATCTGCAAATGGCTCAGTAATTTTGACCCATCTCGTGACTGGGAGAATAAAATGATGAATTTGCAATTACATGTGCAAAATGTAAAGCATTCTACTGGGCATCGAAAAGGAAAGTCTGTCTGCTTAGACAATAGTATGGTAAATAAAGTTCTTTTTATAAATGTTAGTTTTGTATTTTCTACTTTTACTTCTCCAAACTGTACTTTAAGTTTATGGTTATCATGAGGAGAATTCCTTTAGATAGCTCTCACATTAATTTACTACAAATAGGAAATTGGCTTTGAAGAAACATTTTTAAAATTGTAGTTTGTTTTTCATTACCTTTCAGAAATTGCTTAATAGCAAATACATGGGGAAAATACAGCTCATTTCAAGGCAGTGTATTTGAATATTTGGAGGAGTTATTTTATTTCTGTTATTAACTTTATTTTGTACATAATCCAAGTAACTGGCATGTTTCACTGTAGGAAACATTTTCAGGGCTCCTTTACACCAAAGAAATGGGTACTGTTGAATAGTTTACAGCAACTGGCCCACTGCAAATTTGTGGTGTAGGTAATTTGCAATTTTCCTTCTTTTATCCAGACCTTGTATTAATTTTAGTGGCCTTATCTTGTTGCTAAGCTCTGCATAGCAAGTGTGCTTCAGTAAGAGTAGAAGGGACCTTGATCCCTGTTTTCCTTATCAGGTCTAGAGGGATGTTATCCGGCAATTAACTTGGCCTTTCACACAGCCAGTACCAATTTGCTACCTTTTAAAGGAGTCCGGGACATAGAGACATAGGAGTTTGCCCCTTGCAGCTGTCATCTTTTCAGATACCTTTTATTGAGGTGAAGAGTCTTCCTAAGATTTGTTGACTTCTAAAATTATGCCTCTGGCCAGAATTATGGGAAACACCATAAAGTGAAAGAGAATGCTTTTTAATAGATATTACTGATATCATTATATAAGCCTTCTATGCAAGATACACTACGAATCATTCTGATCTCCACTTTGTAAGTCTTGATGTACAAACAGAAGTTAAAATGGTATTTTTAGAAAGACGACAATACATATACACATTAAGCCTATGTGTCAATATTTGGGGGGAAATGTGAGGATCATTTTGCAAATGAATAAAAATTAACTAATATATAATTTTTGGTTGCTTGATAATGCAGAAATTAGTATGGCAACTGAACAGGCATATCAATTACATATGTTTAAATAGCTATGTACATATAGAGAAGCACATTTGTAGTTTTCTACCTTAATATGAAATAATAGTTATGATACATAAACATACATTGTATCACAGTAAAAACTATGTTTCTAATATTATCTGCTTGTCCGTACTACATTTACTCAGAAAATAAAGATTTAGAAAAACTTGAATAATACTGGCCTGAAATTCAACTTCTTGTTGTAATTCCAAAGAAAACTTACTTTTAAGTCCACATCCCTGATGCAACAAAAAAAATCTTTATTTAGCATCACTTTGACTAGTAATCTGCCAAAATTATTTACATGTGTACAACGAGGGGTATTTACTCCCCAAAGTATTTGAATTGCAAATGGATTGATTCACTACACTTCCAGAGCCTATTTAATTGCTATATGTTGAGAATATTAATTATATTTTATTTTCCACTAAATGAGAGGAATGAAGATGCAGGGAATGAAGAAAGAACAGATGAAGAGGCAAATATTACACATAGTGTAAACATAAAATGTTAAGAGGATATTTTCCATAATCACTAATTTGGCTTGTCTATAATGGTCCTCTTTGGTGGTAACAAACTTCACTTAGGCAGGCCACAGCGTGGACAGAATCAGTGAGATTTCATTGTCCCTTTGATGGAAAAACAGTAAATTATATCCTGGAAAAACAAAGTAAAATTTTGGAAAAGTGCTTACTTTCTGTTCCTTTTCCGGACACGGCTGTAGGCTTCCAAACCTTCTGTTAGTGTCTTCAACTTCTCGGGCTCCACCTGAGTGAAGGTATGAAGACCAAACCACATTACCCAGACCTGTAATTGTTAAACACGGTTTTTACTTTCCTGCCGTACAAGCAGGTGCTGCACTGGCGGGGAGGGGAGCCTTAACCTTCACTACCTTGTCAAATCTTCTGTCCTCACTCAATCATTAGAGGTTGATTCTGTGGCTCCAGGCTGCAGCATCAGTGGAAGTGAAAAGCTGTTTGGCTTTAAAATTGTCAACATTTTGAAAATAATATTTTGGGAATAAAATCTGGAATTTAAACAACCTTCAATTCACAAAATCATAAAAATCAGAGATCCTGGTTCACTTTCTTAGCAACTGCAAATCTGTAGTATCAGACTACTGTGATATAAGTATCAGGGGAAGACAAGAGAGGTAGTTAGTGAAGTGGGTGGGCCTTGGGCCAACAGATCAAAGTTTGAATCCTACTTTTCACTTCCTAGTAGGAGTAAAACACATTTTCTGAGCCTCAGTCTCCTCTGTAAAATGAGGACAATAATACCTACCTTCCTGCTAGAACTGCTGTGAAAATTAAAATGTGACAAGTCTTGTTGAACACTTATCCTAGCATACAGTAATGATCATGACCTAGTACACATTTGGCTCTGCAGAGGCCATAAAACGTGAGAAGAGGGTGTTGCTATGCCTTGTGGGTGTGTCCTTTGTCTTGTCTTGCTTTATCACTGCCAGTCTGTGTGTGGTCAGCTATGTCAACAGAGGTCAGCCACCAAGTGTGGTGGGGGGATATGTGTGTGTGTGGAGGGTGCAACCTTTGCTGCACACTCCTGAGAATCTCTATCATGGTTCTTGAAGCCACCTCCCCACAATAAAAACAATAATTAGGAAAACTTGTATGTGACTTGGGAATAAAAGCACTTTTAGAAAAACATGGCTATTTTTATTCTGTAAACACACACACACACAATCTAAGTAAAAATAGTGTTGTTTGGTATGTAAGCATAGTTTCAAGGCAAGTAACTCAGCTATTCAGTTGGGGCAAAAGCCAGCCACTTTACTCCCATTTCTCCTCCAACCCCTGCTACTCCCCTCCAATCCACTGTTACATAAAAATACAGAGTTAAACAAAATGCCTCATGGGTAAGAAAATAAACACTAATAAGCAAGGAAATGATTATCAACTTTTGTCTTTGTGTCCCCAACATTGACTCATGAATGTCCTTTAGAAATAACTTCTCTATGACCCCTTCAAATCTAGAACACAGTTATGATTAACAAGAAGTTTTCATTATTAAGTCTGAAAACAAGCATTTCTAATATTCAATGAGAAAAACAGTCAAATATGGAAATGTTTGTTTTCCTTTTCATGTTTTTGTATTTTGCCCAAACAAATGTCTTATACACACAAGCTCATACATACCCAACTCACTGTGTGCCAGCACAAGAGACAACTTTGTTCCAATAACACTTCACATAAAGAAAAGTGTCCTATTGGGTTACTGGGACCACTGGAAAAGCTAAAGTGAGCTAAATGTATCCATGTGTTGTTTAAAAAAAAAGATGCCTGGAAGCACTTTCATATTTCATGTTAGAAATGAGCCTCCATCTTGTATTCACTCACATGAAGGGGATATGAAAGATGCTTTGCATATTTCATTTTTGTAATCAATAAATGATTCCACTTATATTTAAATAAGCTTCTTGGCAGCAGGAAAGGAGCTGTGCTATATAACATAAACTTCTATTAGACTTAAACTGGTGTAGCGAGGGACCTCAGAAGGGGTTGATCAGGTCACAGAATCAGAGTCACAGTGAAACAAAGCAAGACACAGCAATTAAAACTTACCCCATTGGTCTTAATTTAAAAAACAAAGTTAGGTCGAACTATTTTTTTAAGTCTTCAATTTTTATTTTTAATTAATTATGGACTAAGGGACAGTAAAAACATTTCTTGTGCATTTATTATGTAAAAGGCACTGTTTTATCATTTAATATGATACTACTGCAAACTAGTATTACTTTTATGTTATTACAGATGGGACTCGGTGCATTTAAATAACGTGACCAGAACTGAAACTCAGGTCTGACTCCAAAGTGCTCAACTTCTCTCCACCATACCAACTCCAATATACATTGAAATGTAGTCATTTTATATATATATAGCATTTATATATATAAAATTACACACACATATATAAAATACACACACACAGGCACACTCAAAAATTTAGGTCAAACTATTTAAAATTATATTTCTACAAAATTTAGATGACAACTTGCCCAAATTTATATTCAATTTTTTTATGCTTGAATAATTTTCCAGGGATATTTTTTCTGAACTAATACTCTGCCATGGTTTCTTCATTTAAATCTGCCTCTAAGCCTCTAACATACTCTTATAATGAACTATATTATTTATAAAGGATTAAATGACCTCGAAAAAGAAAGCAAATATAGTCCTGAAACTAAATGTAAGTAAGATATATATCACTGTGCATTTCTGCTATAACAAGATCATACATATTCAGAAGAAAGTTTAGTTTGTTTCAGGATTTTAGCACTTTACTGTGTTGTGAAATATATATGAAGAGTGTGTGTTTTTTCTGGGGAAATATTCATACATTTGAAAAATATTCAAGAAACTTTAAAGATACCCCCGCCCAAAATGGTATCAGAGAACAACAAAATAAATTCAATTTCTAGTTAAATAGAAATCATGTTTAATGAACACTCCCTTGTAAATTACTTAGCTAACTTGTAAATTTTAAAAAGGACCAGGAAATCAAATACATAAATGTAACATTAAAAAGGTTAAACACACACAAATATTTTTATAAAACTTACACTAAAGGAGCAACTAATTTAAGATAATACTTTTATCTATAATTATAATCTTGTATTCTTGTACGATCACAAGCCAGGAGTTTCATGAATTATTTAACTCTATCTTAGTGAGAATTTAGGAGAGGGCTTTATCATTTATCTTTACTCATCATCTACCCACACAGTTTCATGCTGATAGCAATGATGCTAATAGTACTGGCCATCATGGTGTAACTCTTTACTCATGTCATTTAAGAATCATAAAGCTACCTGGAATTTATATGTATTCATAGTTTACTTATTCATGTATAAATATACACATATGTTAAATGTTAATTTTTTTTAACAGGGTCTTGCTCTGTTGGCCAGGCTAGAATGCAGTGGCGTGACCTTGGCTCACTGCAGCCTCGACCTCCTGGGCTTCAAGTAATCTTCCCACCTCAGTCTCCTTAGTAGCTGGGACCACAGCTGTGTGCCACAATGCCCAGCTAATTTTTTTATTTTTTATTTTTTTGTAGAAACAGGGTTCTCATTATATTGCCCAAGCTGATCTCAAACTCCTGGGCTCAAGCGATCTGCTTGCCGTAGCCTCCAAAAGTGCTAGGATTAAAGGCATGAGCCACCGTGCCCTACCAATACTTTTTGACTATTAAAAACTCTTCTTTCATTCAAATTGTTTGGATATAATAATTCTTCAACATAAATAGTTTTATAGTTTGTTCAGTGCGGATAGAAACATATTCATAAAGCCAGACATTACTATGTGGTAGATGATTAAGAGTTTTTCTGAACAAGGCTGAATCTCTGGTTGCTTATTTGCTTATTTTGTTCAGAAGGCCCATATTACACATTTGATAATTTAACTAAGTTTTTGATTTGGTGTCAGCACAGTGGGACCTCATGTATCTCAGAAGAAACTTAAAGTCTGACAAAAGAAGACATAACCTTTCAGAGAGCCAAACCAACCCTCGAAAGAGAGGTATAATACATATTTGAAGAACCTGGATCTGACTGGGGATGGTGGCTCACGCCTGTAATCCCAGCACTTTGGGAGGTCGAGGCGGGTGGATCATGAGGTCAGGAGTTCCAGACCAGCCTGGCCAACATGGTAAAACTCTGTCTTTACTAAAAATACAAAAAATAGCTGGGCATGGTGGCAGGCATCTGTAATCCCAGCTACTCAGGAGGCTGAGGCAGGAGAATTGTTTGAACATGGGAGGCTGGAGGTTGCAGTGAGCCGAGAGACTCCATCTCAAAAACAAAACAAAAACCAAACAAACAAAAACGAAGAACCTGGATCAATGATCCTAGATCACTTTTAAATAGAGCTGGTTAACCGGAGATGATGTTAAAATTTTCTGCAGGCTTTAATCTTGATAACACCTCTCTGTGTGAATTCTTTGGTGCTCCTTATTGCTGAAGCAGAGCTGTTGTGCAAACGTCAAAGAATAATGGAGCACTAGCCACATCATCGATCTTATAACAGAGTTGACCTCAAGCTCACCTTTTCAGTCTTTACTTCCCCATTCCATTTCTACAAAGTCCTGTTGTTGGGGAATGGCATAATGTAAGGAGTGCTACATATAGAATAGAAGACCAGGGTTGCGACCTGGCTTAACTACCTGTGATTTGTATTCTTTGGGATGCCACTTCTCTGAGCTTCAGTTCTCCCATCTGTAAAATGGGGATAATTCTGCACATCTTTGTGGGTCACTGAAAGGATCTAAAATGACCACGAACATGAAGGTGCTTTATGAACACCAAAGCAGTCAAAGGGCCACTGGTGGTATGTAAAATTATTTAGGTAAAACATGGACAAACCTTTAAATATTCTTTTTTAGTTTTTTTTTTTTTTTTTAGAGACAAGGTCTCCACTCTGTCACCCAGGCTGGAGTGCAGTGGTGTGATCATAGCTCATTGTAACCTTGAATTCCAGAACTCAAGTGATCCTCCCACCTCAGTCTTCCAAGTAGCTAGAATTATAGGGGTGCACCACCATGCCTGGCATGCTCACTGCAGCCTTGACCTCATGGGCTCAAGTGATCATCCTACCTTAGCCTCCCAAGTAGCTGGGACCACAGGTGCACAGCATCATGCTCGCTAATTTTTAACAATTTTTTGTAGAGATAGGGTTTCATTATGTTGCCCATGCTAGTCTTGAACTCCTGGCCTCAAGTGATCCTCTGACCCCAGACTCCCAAAGCACTGGGATCATAGGTGTGAGCCACTGTGCCTGGCCTCCTTTGCATATTTTTAATAGTTATATTATTCATATAAGTTTACATTAGAAAAATACAAGTAATATTATGATTTTACATATACAATATCCTAGGATAAAACTTAAGTTGTTTAAATCTAAAAAGTGGCTTGAATAGTGCCTAGTACATTTGTGCCTAATAAATATTTATTGAATGAATCAATTAAGTGATAAATTTAAAGAAAAAATTTAAGTAAATAATAATATATGTAATATGCAGCTTTAGCTGAAGTCTGGGAAATATAGCTCTGAAGTAGAAAGCAAATATGAGGCATTTATTAGGTTCATTATCAAACATTTATTAAATAGTAAATATTAAAAATAATATATATGTTTTTAAAATAACATCTTCAAACTGAAAAAATTTCTGCTAACTTAAGTGCAATATTTCAATATTTTTTAAAGACTGGGAATTAATATTAAATGATAAATAATTTAGAGTAAAAAGTTGATTCACCTGTGACAGGATGAACCTAATTGTTTTCCAACAATAGTACAATAGTTCTCATGGCAGAGTACTAATCATTCCTTTAAATGAATCCCAATTTTTTTCAAATGAACTAACCAAATTCTCTTTATCACAATTTAGTGGCATTATCTGAGGCCTTTTTCGGTGCTTCCTTTCTTCTTCACTTTGGATAGCAGTGTTTTTAAGCACTGGGGAAGTACATTACAGGACGGGGGTAAATCCATTCTAAATGTGACTACAATTTGCATATCAATCCACAACACATAGATAGAATTAAATGTTTCAGATAAACTTGTAATTTCTAAGGAAACAATGTTTAAAAGTTCATGTAACAGAAGCAAGTAGTTGCCTCAGACCTGAGAATCTATTTCCTGCTTCCTATCTGAAATTATATGAACAAGCTCATGTAGTCTGTGTTGGGCTCAGTTACCTATGCGAATGAAGATAGGCCTCCTAGTCCTCTTTAATCTGGCTCAGGAAAAAAGTTCACAATATTTCACAGTTCACTATAGTAAAGTTTACAGTTCTTTTACTCAGCTTAGTTTTTTTCTTTATATTCACATTTTTGGTCTTTGCTAGTTCTTCATTTTTATTATCTTTCAAATTCTGATCAGGAATTGACTTTATTGGCCTGGATTTTATCTTTCTTATTACTTTTGAAAAACTATTTTGCTCCCTTTCAAGGAGATTCTGGTGCTGACAGGGCATTGATTGCCTCTGTCACACCACCAACCAAAATGCAACCCAAGTATTGTGGATGCTATGGTAGAGAGAAAAGGATTCATTTCCAACAGCGGTTAAGAAAATGTATAAGGCAAAGTGAATACACCAAGAACATTCTCAACAGAGAATTATAGTACCAAAGAATACAAACAGCTAACACTGATAAACACAGAAAGAACATTCTTCAAAGTAAAATGTCTGAACATCACAGGAGGACGCACCTCCCAAAGTTAGTTCCTGGGGCTCAACTTCTTAAGTTACACACCCCCAGAATGCAAGGTAAGTTGTCTCTGGTTATGCTCCATGCTGTCAAAACACATGTGTGTGTGATGCTGAACTGACATACAGAAAATGTATTGCCCCCCAATAGATTTGGTTATGAGTTTTAATAAAGATAAGTTTTGTTGGTTTTGAACGACTATTCAGAGAGCTGTTTTTATCTCTACTTGCCAGAAATAACTGTATGGAAAAAAGTCAAAGAGCAGTTTTGAAGAGGGAACACCCTACCCACTTATGCTTTGAAAATAATGTCTTCATTTAACCAGGTAGTGTAGAACAGAGATGTAGACCTTTTTTTGGTAATCAGGTGTCTCTGTATCTGTCCAAGAACAGTCATTTCTTTGAAAAGAAACCTTTTGGTGCCAGTCTAGTAATAAATTATTTCTTAAATTTGGCTTGGGTCAGAATATACATTAAATGTAAGAGCAATGATATATGAAGACCAATGGGAGGATGCTCAAAAAGTAAAAATGATCTATGCAGAAAAAAATAAAAATTTTAGTTTTTGATTATTACTGCTTGAGAGGCAACCCTTTTAAGCTAGTTAACATAAAATTAAAGATGACAGATGACAATTATAAAATATATTTTAGAAAACAAGAGCATTTTCTTTAAATTTAAATAGTTATTGAAATAGGTACATAAAGATAACCATTTCCTCCATTGTTGCATAGGCTTAAAAATGTTTGCAAATTAAGGCATAGAGGTGTAATGTCAGAGGTAGCCATTTTCTTCCCAAGAATTCCCTAACATTACGCCAAGATCTGGAAGTGAATCTGTCTGGTTCTGGCTATGCACTGGAGCACAGCACTGAGGTCTTATTCCTGGTCACTGAGCCACGAACAGTAAAGGGTTCATGGTTCAGAAAGAAACTTGCACCAGTTATTTAGAACAAGTATAACTATCTCCCAGAGTGTACTTCAATTTTTTTTATTTATTTTATTTTTTTTATTTGAGACAGAGCCTCGCTCTGTCGCCCAGGCTGGAGTGCAGTGGCGCGATCTCGGCTAACTGCGAGCTCCACCTCCCGGGTTCACGGCATTTTCCTGCCTCAGCCTCCGCAGTAGCTGGGACTACAGGCACCCGCCACCACCCCCGGCTAATTCTTTTGTATTTTTTAGTAGAGACGGGGTTTCACCGTGTCAGCCAGGATGGTCTGGATCTCCTGACCTCGTGATCTGCCCGCCTCGGCCTCCCAAAGTGCTGGGATTACAGGCGTGAGCCACCGCGCCCGGCCCAGAATGTACTTTATTACAAATTGTTAACCAAGGGAAAAAACACATTAGGAAGGAGATAGCACTTCCTGAGTGGTATAATACAAGGCACATAATGTCCTCCAATGCTGTCACATAGCTTCAATCTTAGGAAAGTAATACATACAGGCAATTCATCCCAACTTTTCACAGGCTGTTAAAAATCTCCACTAATTAATATTGTTTTACGTGTGAAAGAGAGTTATGTGGGAAGGTAGAGGAAGAAAGTCTGAGTTGTTTTTTTTTAGAAACATTGAGGAAAGAGGAACTTTCAAGTTCACTCAACAAACTGAGTGCTTTAAAACGCTTTCAAGTGGAACTCCTGCTTGAAATTAACAGCTAACACTAGCTTATAATCAGATATGCCAATTTGTACATGTGCTGTAAACATAGTTATGAACTATTTCATTCATTGACTGTAATCCTTATAATCCTTTACTCTCAACCTGGTTAATAAATCCTTTATACATGGACAATGCAGAGGTAAACAATAACTAAGGTCAAATTACCACAATTCCATAATGGTGGAATCTAAATTAATAAGACTGTCTAACATAAAGGGCAGAGGATAGGAGGTTAATGTTTACTGAACCTCTTTGATGTGCTAGATAATAATCTACAGTATTTCACTGAATTCTTAAGGCATCTCTTTGAATAGAAATTAATATTCTCACTTGAAAGGGGTGAGTAGCCTGCAGCTTCTAGGAGATTAATATACCTACTATGACCACTTAGGTAACTGGCAGAGCTAAGATTAGGCTCACATCAGAGTGCCCAAAACCCATGCCTCTTTATGCTACACCCTGCTTTTTTTCTAGTTCTCTGCAGACTGTGTTTATACAGTATTCGATGTCTAAAAACCATACCTTTTAGGAAATCATCTCAGAAACTACAGAACATGACTAATGCATATCAATAATCTGCTACATTTACTATCCCACCAAAGACCAAAAAGGCCTTTCTAAGATCATAAGCTGACCAAGTCAGTTACTATTATGACCAACAGTGTCTGCTAAAATATTAATGTATTGACAATGGGGAGGTCTCAGCCCTTGGCAATTATCAGTGCTCTGATCACACAGCATTGACTTCCTTAGACCAGAGACCATTCACGCAACCTAAAAATAGGAGAGGCACCCAGCTTGTTTTGAAATAGTAATCTTCTATCCTGTCAATTAATTATCTTTATTTTCTATTTTGCCTGCTTCCATAAAGAATTTGGAGTGGCTTGCTGAGAACAAAGCCTGTAACTGAAAATAATAAATGATATGTTGTAGGGTGGAGTCAGGGGTAATAAATCTATTCTAAAACTTGTGTTAACGTAGATTTTTATCTGGTGGGATCTGACAGAATCTTGGATTCTTTGGTGGACATAGAAATAGTATGAAAGCTGAGAAGCTAAGAAAGTTTAAAGTGATAATGTAGGAAAATTGTTTGGCAATTTTTTTCTTCCTAGACGCTACAAAGATAAACACTATGGAAAATGATCCCACATTGCACATTAGCAAGGCGGAATGAGAAAAGTTTTACTATAATAAACAGATTTGGACCTAGTCTCTGCCTTTCTGCTTTAGACTTTCTAAAAATGTCAGGCATTGCCATAGTGTACAGAAGGTAAACTAAGGCAATGCTTACCTTTCTAGAAGCAGAAGTCCAGTTATTAGTGTGTAAGGCTTTATCCAACATTCTTGGGCATTAAGGAGTTCTACATAAATAAAATTACATCAAAATTGGTTCACCTGAATGAGTAACAAATTTTAAAAAGTGTTCTACTAGATATCTCTCTGAAATACATCACGTTTTGTCTTATACAGATATTGAACATAGTTTTACTTTTTCTTCCTGAACTAGGGCCATTAATATATCAGACACTTGGCTTGAAGTCAGACAGACCTCTGTTTGAATTTTTACCTTTTCTGGTGTTGTAAAATGAGAACTTTGACTCACGGAGCATCACTAAATAAGGTATTAGGAAGTCTTGTTTTGTGTTGTATAGAGGAAAAAAGAATGTTTATGAAGTAGTACTTAGTTTACTTATGTGCAAAAGTGTGGTAGGTCCTGAAAGGAACAGGTTTTTAAAAATGCTGAGTCCTTAGCACTTCTAAGGCTGTTATACCTTGCTTTTTAAATGATAGATAAATGTTTCATGTATTATCATTAATATTTTATTACATGTTTTCAGTTTTTCACCTCTAAATGTGTGCTTTAAATTAAATTCTCTGAATTACTAAAAATACTTTTAGTATATAGTATATCTTGATATAAAGGTTTTTACTTGAGAATCCAAAATGACAAGGTCAGCCAGTGAGAGGAGGAATATATGAATTTACAGCAACAGTTTTATGTTTCCTATTATAATTCATCTATTGCCAAAATTAAGGAAGAAGAATCTGGATTTTAAAAATATTACTTTATAGTGGAATGAATACTACATACTACTTTGCTTATTTAAGTGAAGAAAAATATTTTTCTCTTCGTTTTTTTTTTTTAAAGTACATCTCCCCTAACATCAGTGAATACCTCAGTCTCAGGAGTTTTCGAGCACAGATTAATCAGAAGATCTAGACCATTGTTTAATGTGAAATGTGTTAAAAGTACATGCCTTTATTCTCCTAAGGGCATAAAAAGATATTTAGACAAGGCATTTAGGACAGGGAGAATGCTTCCAGGGAAGGGAGGCCATAATCTTTTTTTTTAGTTAAGCTTTTGGTAAAATGGCACATAAAAAAGACTTAGTTCGTTTGCACAGACATTGTAAAACAGTTCAATGTCTACATCTTGTATTTGTAGCAGTTCCATTTATATCATAAAAGCCCACTTTTTCTGTTTCTAATTATTTCTTGAATAAACTGTCAAAAATATTTAGGTTTTTCAACCTAAAGAATGTTTGTCTGAACTCAGAGAGTATAGAGAATAAAATATTTTGTGAATAGGGGTATGGAATTCATTTTCTTATCAAATGTACAAACATTATGGCCAGAGTGTATCCTGACAAGTATATATTAGGCATTATGAGCAAGGTTTTAGGACCTCCTAGTCATTTGGAGAAAGACAATCCCTTTATTGTGCTGGCAAAAATGCTTTTGGTTTCCTGTCATTAAACCTAAGTGCCAGTGAAAGTTTGAGCACAGTTGAAATTGCTTTATACAATACACTCTTTACGAGAATAACATATACCTGTAAGAGTAATTTTTATTACCTAAGAAGATGAAAAATTATACGTTTTTAATCATATGGGGGAATGTGCATAATTATCTCCTCCTGGTCAGATATAAATTTTTCTATCTACTTTAAACACTCTGCATATTTCTTGCCTAGTGAGCCAATTCCACCATTATTGTAAAGGCCGAAAAAAAAAAAAAAAAAGGCCCAGAAGACCCCTACTAATTTCTTTTAAATTGAACGGTAGTTTCATGGAGAAGCTTTCATTTAATTTATGTGATCTAATTGTGTTAAGTAGAACCAGACTATGAGGTTAAACATTTCCATATGTTTTAAAGGCCCAGAACTTTTCCTGAAAGGAGACATCATTCTGAACTCAGACTTTACCTGCTGCTTCCAGAAATGGCTGCAACTCCACCCAGACTGTACCCCCTTCCCAGCTGTGTGTGCCACATGTAAGCACATGGAGGAGATGCCGTCCCCTGGCGCAACCATTGCCTGGGGGGTCCTTACCCCTGCCACACTCCTGGACCTCCAAAGGCTACCAGATTTTTTTCCCCAGTCATTGACACTTGCCTTCCTCCTCTGTGTATGAAATGAAGAACTAGGTAACTGTAGAGAGGGAAGGCAGAGTTGACTAAATTCTGGAAATCTGGTTCCTGGCTTACAGCCACCCTGAGCCCTAGTGTGATCTATAAATGCTTTACAACTCACCCCTTGTTGATACGACATTTTGTTGACTATAACCATCCCCTCTTCATTTTATGCTCCAGAAGCTTGTGAGACCTCAATGAGTCATGAAGAATCCTAATTTCAAATCCAAAGAATCCAAAGTGATGATAACAAAAAGCAATAATTGATATCTGAACAAAGGTTAGTATTTGACAATGGATAAAGATTGGTATACCTTCCCTTCCTCGGGGCTTTGTTGACATGAATTGTGAACGTCGTCTTCTCTTACTAATTTTCCAGGCCAGGAAGTCAGTCCTTTGATTTGGCCCCAGACCAAGTCGCCAACATTGAACGTCCTTGGTCTATAATGTATCAATTCATTTGAAGAGGGGGAGTCTGGGTTCCTTAGGTCATCTTCACTACTAATGCTTTTAGCATCTGAAGGGCTAGGCACACACCCATTAACGCTTTTGGCATTAAAGTCTCCATTGTAATGGATGTAGTCTTTGACCAGAGAATTTTCCAAACTATTTGAGGAACTTGGAGACTGCTCCTCTAGGACCAGGTCTTGCTTTGCAGTGCTTAGCAGCTCTCCAAATCCCCGACTCTGTCGAGGTCTATTCCCATTTATGTGTGCACATCTTTCCACAGTGTTCTCTAGTCTCTCCTTAAAACTCATCATAGTTCTTTTGTAGTTATTATACCTGAAATTTTCCTCTAGAATTTTATCCCCTGGACAGTTTCTTGGTGGTAACAGTATTGGGTGCTGTTCCCCAGGCAGAAATGGCAGTGTAGAGACATTGTTGGGCCTTTCATGACAAGGACTACTGTGGATATGGCCTGGATGATCTAAAAATTCCTCGTACTTCCACCTGTTTCGCTCCCCTCTGGGGCTTTGCTCCCCGTCCCACTGTTTTTTGGATGTGTGGCAACTTGCTGACTTGAAATATTCAAACCCATCTCCTTCGTTCACATTTTTCCCATGGTCTAGATTCTTGGGCAGCCGAGCCCCTCTTGAATTCCTCAGCCTACCATCATGATCAACACCTCCCATGTTCCGTCCATGAATGACCGCACTGACAGCACTGGAGAGATTTAATGGGTCACCAATTGAGGCAGTGAAGGCACTCATGGCACTCAGAGCTGGAATGGGGCTGATCTGAGTTGTACTGTTGACTGCAGTGGTGATGACAACCTGCATTCCTTTGCTGGCTGCATCGACAACTGCTTTGTAAATGGCATCTACGGAAGCATCACCTGGGCCACCCACAACGAGGCCATCCTTCACCTGTTGACCAAGAGATGGGTCAATCCTCGGTTGCAACTCACAAGGTGTATCTTGAAAAGGTGGAAGTGTAGTGTTTGGATTCTCAGGAAGTGCTGTGAGCCCAGGCTGAGTGCTTATTCTTTTGTTTAGGAGAGCTGCATCTTCCTGCATTCTCACCTTGAAGAAATAGACAGGAAGCAGTGAGAGAAAGGGAAATAATTTTGAGGCCTCAAAGAGAAAGACTATAATTTTAAAATTTACCAAAAGACAAACAAATATTAACAAGGAAGGAAATATAAAGAACAAGACTCAAAAAATGAAATAAAAAGTCACTTTGTATAGGAAAGCTTATGTCTTGATTATATTTGCATGCTGTTTCTTTGATTAAAATCATTCAACAGATTTTTAAAAATCATCACTGCGAAACATTCTCTAGAAAAATTAAACTTGAAGTGGCTGGACAGAAAACGTACTCAGGTTGGGATGACTCCATTTATTTAGTGTCATTACAGGTCTTTGCAATTTAGGATTCAAAAAGAGTCAAGTCACAGGTAATCAAATTAGCAAAGGAGAAAGATTTTGAAAATGATTTCTAACTCACTGATGTTTCCACTTAACTAAGTGAAATACAATATAAAATTTTAAAAAAACATATAAACTCCTTTCTTAATAATAACATGACACTAGTTTTCAGATGGGGTAGTAATACCTGCTCCTCAACCTTTTCAGGCCACATCCCCATGCTGTCAATAGTGACAATGGCTGTTTGCAGAAGTGATTCTCAATTGGAAAGTGGTGGAAGGAGAGCATACTTACCAGGGGAGCATATCAGAATTCCAGTATAGGAAGGATGAGGGCAGTTTGAAAAAGTGCCCAAGGTAATTCTAATTTTACCCCCCACCCCCCACCCCCGCACCATCTAAGAATTACTGCTCTAGACCCTTGATACTTTGAACTTTCAGATTTTTTTCCACAATGATCTCTCTCTTTCTTTACATCCTTCCCTGCTAATCCAGAACCTGGGATCTGTCGACACATCAGCCTCTCTCTTGCTATTATCACCCTGTCTACATTTACCAGGCAAAATCCCAATCTTGGATCAATTCAACTGCCTGCCTTATCTACATCTACAGTGAGGATGCTGATATTTGTCTATAGGAATTTGTAGCTTCCAACCTCAGTTGAGGGCTTATTGCTGCCCATCAATCCTAGATCTTCTAGTTAGTTATCAATCATTTCCACAACTATTCAAATATTCACCAACTTCTTCACCATCTCCGAGACTATTCTTAGTAGATGATCTTACGTAATGAGAAAATAAAGCCCATCAGGCAAGAATTCTCACAATTTCTTATACTCTGATACTCCCTGCCCCCTGGCAGCAGACTTCTCTGCAACTATACCCGTCCTAAATTCTGTCCTGCTTCCCACATGAGGGGTCCCTTCTGCTCTCTGAGGGTGTGCCCTCCACTTATGTTCTGAATCCCAAGCCCCTTCCTCAAGGATCCTGTCTTATTTATTATACCTTCCCTTCTTTATGTTCAATCTCTTCCACTTTTCTGGGTCTTTCCTATAGCACATGACTATGTTCATGGCTTACATATTTTAAAGTTTGCATTCATCCTACCCCCGACCCCCTGCTGGGGCACTGCCCTATTTCTCTTACATTCTTCAAAGTTAAGTTTTTTTCAGAAATAAATTTTGTTGTGTGTATTTGAAGTTAACACCATGATGTTATGGAATACGTATACAGATGGTAAAGTTGTTACTAGAGTGAAACAAATTAGCCTATCATCTCATATAGTAGTGTGTGTGTGTGTGTCAAGAACAGCTAAAATCTACTTCTTTAATCTATACTCTTTAATTCCTAACCTCCTATTCACTGTTCCTCCATTTTGCCATCTGGCTCCTGCTCTCACCACTCCAGCAAAACTGCATTCCACTAAGTCACTGATGATGTCCTAATTGCTAAATCTAATGGATTCTCTTCAGGCTTTATCTTACCTTTTTTCTCAGTGACACGGTTGAGCACTTCCTCTTCCTTTCTAAATTATTTTACTATGGAAGATATATATATTATCATAAAGATACAAGTTTTCTTCATCATTACTTCTCGCTGAAACTCAGTTTCTTACCCTAAACTCCAGTCCTATTTCCTTTCTTAGAACTAACCAGCACTGGAGTGCATCATTCTTACCTCCCTTCCTTGCTCCCCTCCTTCTTTCTTTCAACCTAAATGGGATGGTCCTAGATTCTGGATCCCACACCCCCTCCTCAGGAATCCTGCCTTATTTATTATCCCTTGAACATAAAGATGTTCCCCTTTTCTGGGTCTTTCCTTTAGCGTATGATTATATTTACAGCTTCCAGATTTAAAAGTACTGTTCTGCAATACTATAGCACTGGAGTCTTGCAGTCTTACAGATCTTTCCATATCAGATTATGTAAGTCTACCTAATTTTCTAAACCACCAGGTAGATGGATATACTGTACCATAATATACTTAACTATTTCCCTACTGATGGAGTGGTTCATAATTTTTGACACCTCAAATTATATTGCACTGAACATTTTGATATGTGCTTGTTTGTTCACATTTGAAGATTTCTCTAAAATGAGATATTAATACACAGAAGCTGAGCTTCTGGTCAAAAGATATTTAAAAAATCTGATATGCTATCAAATTACCCTCCAAAAGGACTGTATCAGCATATAATCAGACCAACAGTAATCTGAGTGAATCTATTTCCCTGCACCCTTGTCAGCAGTGGGTATCATCAATCTGATGGACACATTAGTGTGATAATTTATGTAACTCTGATTGTTATTTTCATGTTTTTTAATACTTTATCTTTCAATTTCTGTGAATTGTCTGTTCATATCTATTGCTAATTTTTTTCTAATCAATTGTCCTTTTTCTTCCTGATTTGTAGGAGCTCTTTTTATGTTGTAGGTGTTAATTATTTAATATGTATTAGGAAAATATTTTCTGCCAGGTTGTCATTTGTCTTTAGCTTTGTTTAGAATATGCTTGATCATACAGAGATTTTAAATTTTTATCTATTCAAATTTGTTACTTTTCCTTTTGACTGCCTTGGTTTTCTGTCATGCTGAAAGAGCCTTCTCTACCCCAAGATTATTTTTAAAAAGCCCATATTTTCTCCCTATGTGGATTTAGTGTTACCCTTTCCACCTACCTCCTTAACCTAGCAGGAATTTATTCACTTTGTGGAACTAAAGAAATACCATGTGGCTGAAGCCAGGGGAAGAGTGGTGAGAGCTGAGGCTGGAGAGGGTGGACAGGTGGGCATGCAAGGGAGGTGAGTCTCAGTCATGAGAACAATGATAAATGACAAAAGGGCTTATGAGGGTCACACGATCAGTTTTTACTAACAGCTCCAAAAGAACTGCTGAGATACTTCAGACAAAATTAAAAAAAGAAAACCTTCACACAAAAGACTGGAATGTTTAACAATACTCATGACTGAGAAATAACAGTAAATAGAGGTGAAAGGGCACGTAACCTACTTTTTTCACCCTTTCCCCCAAATTAAGTATTTAAACAAACTCAGACATTGTTTTCTTCTAAAATGACACAGCAGAGGAGAGTACCTGAAAGTTCTGAAACAGACAAGCCATGGGGTTATTGTTAGCTGGGCAAGGAATTGTGGACTGTCCTTGGAACGCCTGGAGATTCTGGTACCCCTGGAGAAGTTGCTGCTGTTGCTGATTTGGAGGAAACATCTGATTGTTGTTTAACAGCGACTGTAGATGAGTCAGTTGATGGTTACTCAAAGTATTGTTTATTGATGACATATCACCTACAGTTTGAAAAACATAAAATATAAATAAATGTGATTCTTCGGAGATTCGATGCCTCTCTTTGTACCCGAGAATTCCTGAAACAGAAACTAAGTGCTATGCTTACTTGGGTAATGCTTTTCTTTTTTACTTCTCAAAGTCTTACTAAGTGGTAAGGAAAGAGTAGCTTTATTATTTAGTTTTATCTTGTATAATTAGTTTTTTAATTTTACATCATGGAAAGACTACTTAGTCTTTGCTCTATTCATTAGGCAGTCCTTATATATTGAGCTGCAGTGTCATATGATTCCTTCATCTATTTTTAGATTTTAGATCTATTTTAGAGCACCTAAAATTAAAGGTTGAAATTAGTCCTATAATGTTTTAGCAATTGTAAGTATCTGACCAGATAATTAAAATAAGTGAGCCTGATCAGGCCTTGTTTACAAAATTTAGTTCTCAAGCCATAATCATCAATAGATACCAAATCAAATCATCGATTTGGTTTAGAAACGTGCATTTTGTTTTGCAGTAGAAGGTTGGTCACCTAAAATTAACATGGAAAAGAAAGCTAACAACACAAAAGAATTCATTGTCATAATCATTCAAAATAAATATTATATAATCAGTAGGATTAATAATTAAATTTATATTCAAAATTCAAAATTATTTTGAAATTACTCTGACATTTTCTTGAGGAGAATGTCATAGAAATTGTCTTGTAACTTGAAACATGTAAATCTGTAATGCTTCGTAGTTTATTTAACTACAAAGATTTCAATGCCAAATAGAACTAATTATACTATATTATAAAGGCATTCATAAAATCAAAAACACATAAATAATAAACAAATTTTTTACACCTTGAAGATGCCATTGACATCATGATGTACATTTCCCTGTTTCTAGACTTTATGGACACCATCCCCACACTTTATATTATAGTTACCTATATCCATCAGTTAAATATACCTGGCATTATTTTCGAACTATTTTGTGATAGGATAATACAGATGAAAAACTGTATTTTTAAGCCACAAAAGTCAAAAAATTAATACTGACTGAGGAAATCTAGTAGCAGCTAGAGGGGCTGTCTGTTCCCTTGAACTTGGGAAAACTTTAGCTTTGCGTGTTTTTACATCTTGTTTCTTGTTTTGCTAGACAAGCATTTAGTTTTGTTTATTTAGGGTTCACCTGGAAAACACTTTCTCAATCTGTTTCCATCCACAGTGCAGCTGCTCATACTAACCCTGTGATGCCACACCAACTAAAATTCAAATAAAAGTGATTTTTAAGATGTACCTGTGCTTTATTATTTGAAAAATGAGACTCTACTTGGTTTAAGAGGTGATGGGTAGGTTAGGTTTAGGTGGCATCAGAATTAGAAGAGAAAGCAGATTAAAATGATATTTAGTATTGCTAGAATAGGGGAAAGAGGAAAAAGTCACTCATGTTTGTATAACTATGGTTGTGTGTGGGTGTTGTTATATTTAGTTCCTTAAGCAAGCTGTGACATAACAAAAACATTTTTAAAAATAGTGTGACAAAATGGAGTTTTTAAAAAGGAGAAAATAGAATTAGAAAAACGTTTCTTTTGTAAAAAATTTGTGAAAAAATTTAACTTACCAAGTAGACCTGTCCCCAGTAGAGGGTTAAGTAGCTGTGGCACCACAGAGTTACTGTTGAGTTTAGCTGGACCAGGTGTATTCCCAGCATTATTAGATATATTCAGCAATGTTTCTGCCATTGACACCACTGCTGTCCCACCAAGTGTTGAGACAGTCAGTGCTGCCACTGCTGATGATGTAGTGGTTGTGGTAGTGGTTGCCTGGGAGGAGGTTGCTATGGAAACCTCTGGATGATTAGCGGTGTTGGCCGATGCCGAGTTCAGGACACCTCCCAACAGCTGGGGATTCAAGGTCATTAATCCTGAGGCCCCATTGACAGCTGGGAGGAACAGGGGGTTAAAAGTAGTGTCACTGCCTGCAAAGCTTGGTAAAGGGTTCCCCAGGGGGCTGGTTAAAAGGGTCTCAGCTCGGCTGTTGTCTGACTGATTGCTTGGCAAATGGTCTGGTGGGGCTGTCATCTGTGTTAATGAGGGTAAAGGGGTATTTTGCTGTTGCAAAAGATCTGAGATGGTCAGATTGAAAGATGGCAGGGGAAGCATGGCAGCTGCTTGGGCTTGGTTCTGAAGCAAGGCTGCTAAGAGCTGAAAGTGAACAGGCTGCAATACCTGCCCATCCATGTCACTGGAGAGAAAAGCTAAAGCAGCGTTTACATTCGGGTTGAGAAAACCTAAAGGGTGGAGGTTGATCTCAGACTTGCCTTCTCCTGCTGAAGGCTGGAGGATATTTAATAGATTCTGGTTTAGGAGATGCTGTTGATTCACTGGCAAAGAGATAGGTAGAGAACTGAGGAGGCTGGGGTTCAAGGGGTGTGGAAGATGGTTGTTTGAAGTGCTGTTGGATGGAAAATGAAGTGCGTGCTCCTGGCCAACAAAAGGAAAATCACTCCCAATGGGTAGCTGACTCTGCAGTGGGTTTCCAGCTGCAGTGGTGACTATGACGCCATCTTGAAGAACAGATGTTGTCTTTGTGATGGCAGGGTGGTTGGTGCCCGCTATGGCTATGGAGGATGATGGTCCTGAACCGCCTAAAATGAAAAAAAAAAAAACACAAAACCCAGTTATTAATCATGAATGTTATGTGAGACTAGGCATAAAAATGCATTAACATAAATTTAAATTTATTTGTTCCATGGCACCTTCATTGATTGTAACTAGATTAATTGTAATCAGATCACTTGACATCTGTTAATGGGACTTAAGTTTAGAATGTATGCTTTTGAAAATAAATATATTGAAGACGTTTTATTGAGAAATAGCTGGTGAGTTGTGGTGGCAGGAGAGGTGGGGGTTTTAAAAAAAGAAATAGCTGTTGCTGACTATCAAATAGCTTGTTTTTCACAGGCAGACAAGTGAAAGGGGAAGATGGGAGAATCCACGTTCTTCATTCAATTGGGTAGATAAAAGCAGTAGTTTTATTTTAAAAATTTTTTTCATTAAAAAAGTTATTTGTCTTTATTTATAAAACTACTACTTCCTTTTAGTGAAAAGAAACCCACAAAAGTAGAATGCACATAAAAATATAAGGCAGAAAATAAAAAGTACCTGTGAAGATTAACTATTAACATTTTAGTTTATAGCTTTCTGGGCTTTTTCTACCTGCATGTCTATACATATGCAGGCATGCATATATATATACACATATGCATATATATGTTACATATATTTTTTAAAAATAGAATCATGCTATAATGTTATTTTGTAGCTTTTTTATTTATCAATATATTGTGATTATCATTCCATGTTAGCTTATATATAGCTACAGAACCATTTTATTAGTATCATGTATGATATACTGTACTTTAATCAATCCACAGTCATGAGTTTTTTTATTATTTCCAATCTTTTACTATTGTAAGCAACGCTATGACAATTATTCTTATTAACACTTCTTTGCCAGTTCACCTAATTATTTTCTAAGGATAAATTCTTAAAAGTGAAATTCCAGGGACAAAAGGGTTTACATATTTTAGAAGCTTTGAATACATATTGTCAAACTACCCTCCTGTGAAGTTTTTACATTCCTATAAGCAGTGGAAGACAGTGCTCATTTCTCTCACCAATACTCTATTTATCATTATTTTTGACAATGAATAAAAACAATAGTTAAGAATCTTTACCATTCTGATTGCGTAAAGATACTTTGTACTTATGATTTTTTAAATTAGACCAGTCTTACATAGCATTCTTATTCTTAAAAGCCTTACACTAGGGATGAAAATTCTGGGAATTTAATATCTGAAAAGATAAAATTTCACTTATTTATAACTGTTTTTGTGATGTTCAACCCAAGCTGCACAACAGAATTATCTGGAGAAATTAAAAAAACAAAAACAAACCAATACCTGGGCCCTAACCCAGACCCGCTGAAAACTCATCTCTCGGGGTACAGCCTGCGCAGTAGTATTCTTTGAAATCACCCCTGGTGATCCAGATGCACAAGGGGTGAGGTAGATAGGGTGAAAACCACATCTATTGAAAAGGAACCTATAATCACTTTTTTGTAAATAGTCTTTCCCTGTTGTAAATCCATTGTTTTATGTAATACATGCATTTGACAAATATTTTATTATTTTAAGAATACACATTTTTAGTTTTATTTAAAAATACTAAACACATATATGGCATAATGAACAACACCAGTGTCACTGAAAATCTAAAATAACTCAAACATTTTGGGCTATGCTATGCCATGCTATCCTAAAAAACTTTACATTTTATCATGTCACCATTGAGGCTTCATCCAAATACACAGAAATGTTTCCATAGTTGTAACAGTAATATGAATATAATTTTATATTCTTCTTGTTTTCACCTAATAGAATAACACAAGGATTTTTCCTTTCTGATAAATAGACTTCGTATTTATATTTTAACTGTGTAGTGTATGTATTTACTATATTTATTGAACCACTCTGATAAAGCCTGGTATTCATATTTTGATTTCTCATCATTATAGATAATACAGGGATAAATATCTTTCTACATGTGATATTTGCTACCTTTGAACTTTTTCCTTAGAAAAAATTTCGTAATTGGCATGATTATTTTGAGAATCAAAAAAAGGGAAGCAAAAGTTCTGAAATATGGAAAAGTCTATAAAAATAAAAGGAGTTATCATCATTATTGACATTAGTAGTCATAGTAGTGGTGCTGTGCTAATAGTAGTAAGTACAAATCTGCACATCCAACACACTTTACAGAACATCCCTATAGCAAGGATTTGTCATTTTTCCTGGCTGTCTTGGTCTGCCTTTATTTTTTTTTAAGTTTTCAGTGTTTTAAAGAATGAGATCTTAAAAACTCCTCTTTGAAAATATATAAATATTTATGAAATAATGACCACATTCACCAAGAGTAGGGTAAGAAAACATACCAAATACTGAAGTAGGCATATAGTATACAATTCTTTAAATACTAATTCAGATTTGTTACAAAATAATCAAAACCTTAAACATTTAACTGCTTCTTAAATCTTGCTGCTATTTCCATAGATAGTATGGATTATTTCCATTTGGACACCATCTTTTTAATTTTTTTAAAACTTTTATTAAACCTTTACAAATATTTTTAAGAGTTTAAATAAAAAGTCTTATTTACTGGTAATCACTACTTGTGGCACTATCTGTGGCAAGTTTTTCTCTCTGCTAAATAATAATGACATATTTAGATGTAGAGATCACAATTTCTCTAACCAAAGGGAGAACACATTTTCAAAATGCTCTAGAGTGTACATGGCAAGGCTTTGTAGATGAAGGCTTTCCTTAGAGATTATTATAATTTTAATCTTTATTTTGCAACAGACAAGTATCCACATTTATGATTCAAGGAAGTAGCCATTTTGGGATAACATAAAAGCTCTAAATATCTAAATATTATTGAAGAATTAGAAGAAGCGAAGTATAGATACTCTGGGTGTATTTTTGCTTTACCATCAAGAAAGTGGTGAATAACACAAGCTTCTTAAATGTAGTACAAAGATGAAGGTATAGTTTTTTAAATTTTTCTTTAATTTTCAACAAATCTATACAACAAACAGGTGTACTCTGCTGGACAATAGAATAGAACCATGAAAATAAAAATTTTAAAAAAACCCTTGTTCTTTCCTAAAGGAACTAAGAGTTTAGGTAAAGAAAGAAACACAGAAATCTCTCTGTCTTTTTCTTCTCTCAAATATATATTTATTCAGAGTTTATTATGAACTAGAAAAATGTAAAGCTCATTTCTTATATTGCTAGTATAACTATAAGGCAATATGCTAAGAGGTATAACAGGTGTATAATAAGGAGACCACTATAAAACTGAACATGTCAGGGAAAACTAGTCAAGTGGTATAATATTTGGTCTGGAATTTGAGAGATGAAAAGGAAATATAAAGGGCCTCTATGCAGAAGCAAGATGATAAAAAAAAAAAAAACAACAAAGACATAATAAAGTAGATGGAAGGTAATGAAGAGTCCTGTGCTTCCCCAAAACAAAGAAATATGACTGAAAATATTGTGAGGTTTCCCTATGCTTCCGGCTCCTCCTACCCATGGTTGAACCTGCTGCCTTAGATAAGCAGTGAAGACATTTGAAATCATCTTTCTAAACCATTAAAGACAAAAATCATTTCTTATTTATCACTGTATTTCCAAGACCTAATACAGTCTCTGACACATGATCGGTATTCAAAAAATATTTGTTAGTATTAAAAAGATTGTAAAATCATAAAACTTGCACTCAACGTTTAGAAGTAGGTAGTTTGATGCTATGTGTTGGTGTGTTTGTGGACAAAGGGAAAGAATACCACCCGTTTGTGGAGAAAGTGAAAATGAACTCTCCAGTGTATTAGTCCAATGCCAGGAGATAAGGGACATTGGAAAGGAGATGGGTGCAGGATGACAAATTACCTAAGAAGGCTTCCAGATATTTCGAGAAGTTGAAATCACCCCACAGAGGGAGAGGTCTATCCCAAATTACTCTGAGTTCTTAAAGTTACTCATTCATGCTTACAGTCATTCAAAGAGGACCCTGAATTTGTATGAAATTTTATAGATGGAGGAAAATTTGGAAATTGCTTATTTCTGAACCACTTAATCTTGAATAGGCACTCTCTGGTGAACGTATTTCATAGTTCTGCACAAAAACCCTATGGTCTGTTAAACCGTGGGGAAAAATGTTTTGTTAAAGCTGTTTTTTTGTTTTGTTTTGTTTTTGCAGCCAAGATATTTTGTGCTTAATTGAATAAAAAGGACAGTCGCTGAGATTTTTAAGAAGCAAATTATTCATTACGTGTTTACCAGTTAAATAACCAAAAGGCAGCTGGGATCCTGGAACAAGTTAGTAAGCTGGAGAAGTCCTTTACTGGGAAAAAATGATTATTTCACACTGGCCAGCAGCACCATGAACTGGCATACTTTCTTTTTCTCATTGTCTCTGTTGCTTTTCAAGAGTAGGAGAGAAGACTGGAAGGCCACCTAAACAAACTTTGGTGCGAGATCTCATGCTTTGACACCCAGAGATTAAGACAGTCTAGTCCAATGAGGAAATGACAGTGGTAGCTTGCCCAGTAGGACAGGTTTCTTTTCTTTTCTTTTTGAGATGGAGTCTCACTCTGTTGCCCAGGCTGGAGTGCAGTGATGTGATCTTGGCTCACTGCAACCTCCGCCTCCTGGGTTCAAGTGATTCTCCTGCCTCAGCCTCCTGAGGCACGCCCGGCTAACTTTTGTATTTTTAGTACAGACAGGGTTTCACCGTATTGTCCAGGCTGGTCTCGAACTCCTGACCTTGTGATCCACCTGCCTCAGCCTCCCAAAGTGCTGGGATTTCAGGCGTGAGCCACTGTGCCTGCTCCAGACAAATTTCTGTATGTAAACAGTATTCTGCACACATTTATAATTCATGATATATGTATATGCATATGTGTGTACATGACAGCACGAGTAAATTTTAAAGGATATTTTCCTAATATTAATTTAATCCTTGACATGTTTTATCTGTCTCATTTTTAAAACTACTTTTCAAAACAAAGTTAATGTCTACCTCTTTTGATTCGTTTCTCTTCTTCCTGGTCATTGTTTGTATTGTGCTAAACTCTTATATGGCTGTCTCTTAAATATTAATAATATTGTTATACACGTCTTTGGATGTGTACAAGATAGGATATAAAGCTCATATCAAAGAGACCAATGAAGTATTTTTAAAACCTCCTTATACCATTTTGTTTAGCTCTAATTTTGAACAAATACTACTTTATGCTAAGAAACCTTTTCTAAATTAATATGTCCAAACACTGATTTTTATCTATAAAATTCAAGAACCTAAGAAATAAGTCATATAGAATGTGTATGCCTTCACCATCTGACCTTTATCATTTGCTTTGGTAAGTGTACTTGCATTGCAAACAGGGACAATGGTAATCCTTAATAAAAATGGATGCATGTAGATAAGAGAAAATATCATGGCTTAGTGAGTCTAATAAATATAATTCACTTTTCAATCCCATTGAAATAGTAAATTTTCTCCTCTATATTTAAAGGACCGATTTTTAATGATAACAATAATAAATTGAAAGATAACTTTTATGAGAATACTAGATCTTTCTACGAGACTTTATTTTCTCAAGTTTTAGTAAGAGGGAATGGTAATGTGTATTTACAAAAACATATCAAATCTCTATCTTTGTGCTCTGGATTCTGATATAAATTAACATTCTTTTAGCAGCAATAGAAACGAAATCTTAGGGACTAGAGGCTACTTTGTTCTATTCAAGGGAGGGAGGAAGGGGCCCTAAACCAAAGGACTTAGGAGAAGGTAGAGAAGATGGGAAAGGGAGCTATGGCAGTATCTGAGGAAATGCTCTCCACACTCAACAGGGCCAAGAGGATGGGGAGGAGAAAAGAGCAGTAGAAGGGATGCAGCTTGAATCTTGGAATATGATGTCTGTGTAGTTATGACTATCAAGGGGATCAGTCTTTTCAGTCTCGTGGTGGTGATGGAGTCAGAAAAAGAGTTTGTTTTTTTTTCTTCCCCCCTCCCCATAATGTTTTGTTTCCTTTCTTAACACATATAGTTACTCTGAAAACTGTTGGAATTAACTTTAAAATGCTTGGGATTTTTCAGTTTACTCAAGTAATAGGGTTTTTTTTAAAAAATTCCTCTTTGATCACATTTTTCTTAATATTTGTGAGAAAACAAATGTAGAGAAAAGAGTATAAGTCTCTTGCTGGTATAATTTCTGTTCTCTGAATATGCACTACAGTACCTAACAGTTAAAACACTTCATCAATATTCCAATTGGAAGTCTTATCTCATTTTGTTTAATGAGCAGAGCAGGCTAAGTTTCTAGATTATGAATATGCTTAGCTTTGTATTCTTCTACTATACCGTTTTATCTGCAGTGCTAAAACAGTGCCTAGCACATCCTAGGTGCTCAATAAATATTTGCTGAATTAATTACCTCATGGATATTCTGAAACATTATTGAGATCTATTAGTGGGGTGCAACATCAATTTAGTATGCCCCAACTAGTATATTTTTGATAAATGAAATTGAAAAGGAAATGTAAAGGACAATGCACAGCTAGGGTAGTATTTTGTGGAAGCTCTTTCTGTTAGCTTATATATGTGAGTGCTAGGTCATGATCTGTTTTGTGAGTGATTAAAATCATTTCAGTGAGTCATGGCTGTTATTAAAAAATACCAAATAGAATAAGATAAAATAGAATGGGATAAAAAATCAGAAGTTATTACATGTAATAAGTATTTGTTTCATGAAACTTTTTGTTACACATTATAAATGTATGTCTAATGGACTGTAATGCAAGTTAATTTCCTATTGTGGGAAGAATTTTAAAAAGCTGAAAAATACTGCTTTAGGATCAGGCCTCTCAGTTGCTCAACTCTGTAGGAGATGGTCTATGGAGCTGTGCTCTGGGAGCATATTTATCAGGCTACATTGAGAAAGGGGTCCCTGTGGAGTTATGCAGCACAGGAGCCCTGCTCTAGTATATCTGTGATGAATACTCTCTCTTATACCTGTGCCCATGGGTCTTGGATAGATAATACGGACTTCCCTGGACTAACTCCAACCCCAGGAATACCTCAGCAACTCCTTCAGACTTCTGTTGTCTAGCTCCACTTTTAATCTGTAAAAAGGTGAGTTGTTACTTTGAATTTGCAAGTAGTATAAGGCTTAGAAATAATTTTTACTTTACTCTTGGCTTGGCTGGCATTAATGTTGTTTGATAGAAGTTCCTAGAAGGTAAGAATTTTATTTATGATTTGAATTATTTAGTACTACATGCATGAAAAAATGAAATCCATTTTGATGACATCATAGGAATATTTTTTAGCATTATTTTTATGACTCAAACATTGTAGAATTAACATTACTCCATAGAATCTGGGTACGTTTTGCAACTGTGTAAATGTTTTTTGGACCACTTGATTTTAGTAAATAGTAGCTTAGGCATCTTCTAGAGAACTGAAGGATTTCTAGTGGCTTTATAAGTGAGCTCAATGTGTTGTAATGGAATAAAATTCTCCCAATTTGCACACTGGGACAATTTATTTCTTGAAAGGTACAAAATAGATCACTGAATCAGCAAACATATCACCACTCTGAGTTCTGTTATCACCTTTGATTACATAGACTCAACGTCTACAGCTGAACATATTTTAACTCCTTTTTTTTTTAATACAAGGAAACGTTAAACCTGGAATAAGTAAACAAAATAAGTGGTGAAACCCTGATATTAGGAGACCTTCTTAAACAACAAGACATTGACTATATTAAGAATGTCTTACAGCAAAGAATAAATGGCTCATTTTGCAAAAATTTACTAAAATAATAGACATAGATTTTTAATCACACAATCCAGAATTTAGTATAGTTCTGTTGTTTGGTTAAAAAACAAGTGCAGAGGACAATTTTTAAACTACAAACTTTGTGCATCTGATTGGGGGATAAAATCGAAGCATTTAAAAATTTGAGTGAAAATACTTTCACTAGCAACTCATATTTATTCAGTCACAGCCTTCAAGGAGGCTCTTCCTCTTTCTTCAGTCTACATTAATCTATATAACACTGAATTATTTCTATACAAATCTCTCATCTCCTGAGAAGGATACTTTATAGTATAATCCACCCTTGAGCATTTTTATCCCTTAATCTTTCTGCCCCTGTAGCTTCATCTAGAAAAAACAGGGATGACAACTCCCTTTATTTTCTTTACTGCTATGTTCCAAGAACAAATGAACAAACAGGACATAAAAACCAAACTCATTACTTTGTAGTCTTTTACCCAAAGTGTTCTTTTGTGGTCTCACTATTCCATTGTCTTATACCTACCATATTAATGGCTGTCCTGAGTTTCAATCAAATGTATTTTGTGCTGAAAGAAAACTTTCTTTTGCAGTTAAAAAAATATAAGTATATAAATACTCAAGAACATTTATTTATTTGTAGGCTTATTTATATTCTTGTCATGTATATCTTTAAGAGTTAAGGCAAATAAATGTTTGAATTATTTTCTCTTCTGGCACAAACCCATACCGTGTCCCCTCAGAGGATTAAATTTTCATGTGTTTAAAAGAGCTGATTAAATGTTTTGGTTTTTTTTTAGGAAAAAATAAGAGAACATAAAAGTCATTTTAAAGTGAAAAAAGTTATGTTGTGTTGAATGACTTAGTGACTTTATCATATTGGAAGAAGGTAGGGTTGCTAATAAGCATGTTGGCAGAATAATCTAAATCTTTTTCCTTCTTTGAAAATCGTGAAAAACTGCAGGGCAAAGGAATGGATGGGTCATTGTGTGGATACTAACAGGGCTAAGTCCTCTGCAGAGGCTTGGGTTACTGGCATGTGTTTTTGTTATCTGGTAAGCAGGTGTGCAGTAGTCAGAGGATTAAAGAGGCCTGGGCATTTTGAAGTTTGCCAGGCAAGGGCACTTGATTTTGGAGTCTTCCTTAAGTCATAATATTATAGGACATGTGCTATAGCTACTCACATGCTGAAATGCATCTCTCTTTAAAAATGGAAAGTTGCTTTAAATGTCTACTACTGATGGATTTCCAGAACATACCTGCATTTGGCAGTTTGAGTGTTTGGACTGAGAATTGGGAACTTTGGGATTTGGCTGCCAGATCCAACAGAGATTTGCTTTACAACTTGAGGAATGTCACCAAGTATCCTACTGGTCAGTTTCTAAATCTGTTACATGGAAATATTAAACTTTATCTGTAATTTGATATTGAAAAAGCCAGTGGAAAACTGTAAACTTTAAAATGCAAAGTATTTTGAAGCTTTAGTGGAAAGGCAACTTGAAAACACAAAGTAGAATTAATAAAGCCTTGTATATTCATAAGCTTTAGAAATTCTTCAAAGTATTTAATATCTTTTATCTGATTTTGCTACTATCTTTGCCTTCAATTCCCATGCTTAAGTTGTATGTTTTAAATGCCTCCCATAGAATTCACATATAGGCCTAAAAATCAATATTTGGATTGTTTTGCATAGGAAGACTCTCCTTAAAAGAAGATTTAAAAATAGATTACCAATGGAACTAAGCATTTTTCAGAGAAAGTTATTTCTTATCTTGTTAATGTCTTAATGTAATATTTTTGAACTTTTACTTAGAAGAGTGGAAAAAGGCACTGGATTGAGCAAGAGGTCACCTGAGTTGTATCTAAGCTCTGTAACCACAGAGTACAGTTGGACCATGTTACCTGTTGGTTTTTTTCATCCTCACTGTGCTACCATGCTTGGAATGACATGACTAGCATCTACATCTCTTTTAAAGGCCTACTGACACGTCACCTACTAGGAAACCCATTCTAATTTGAGTGAGGTGATAATTAATTAAAAGAAAGGTCACCAAATGTGATTCACTAATAAGGGGCAGTTTTCTTGACATTTTGGGTATTTCTTCTTCTGCACTGACGTAAAAATTCTAGTCATTATTTGCTATAATATTGGCAAAAATAACTGACTTTCATCTGAAGTATATCAATAGTTAACAAATGTGGCTTTTAACATGCATTAATGTGATTTAATTTATTATCTATTGAACATTTTAAAAGATTTTGAAAGGGAACACAATACTTTTGAGCACTAAATGTTTCAGATGAAGAATTTATGCAGCTGGGAGGAAAATGGATTTTAGAATCAGATGAACCTCAGTTCAAATCCTGATTCAGTTATGTATGATACGGAACAGTTACTTAAGTTTTTTTAGCCTCAGGCTCCTGATCTGTAAAATTGAACAATAATACTTTATACTTTAGAAAACTGCACAGATTAGAAATAATATAGGGAAATCACCTGGTACATAAAAGGTACTTGACGATAGATAGCTATAGCAACATTTTAAGAATAAAATGTGGTTTTCTTCTAATGTCTTTCTGGTATCATAGAAATACTCAGTAACACTCCTAGAGGAAAAGCTGTGACTATCATTTACTGTCTCATTCTGAATGCCTACCTTTAAGGCTCAACGGTTATTTGATGAATGAATAAATGTCAGTGTAAACAGATATTTAGGCTAGGCAATTACAGTGATGGTACATTGAGTTGACACAGTTCACTACATGGCAAAAAGAAACATGGCATTAGAGACTGCTTCAATATTTAGCTCATCGAAAGAGTTATGTTCATTAGTGAATCAATCCGTTTTCATAACCAGCTGCACATCAGACCTATGCACGTTAATTAGTATTTAATTTTATTAGGTTTAATACTTTAAAAATTCTACTTAGATTTTTATTAAGCACATACTTCCTGTTAGTTTACACTAGTTGGTCATATTCATATCATTTCTAGACATGTATCCTTATCCTTTTTAGCTATTTATATGCTCACACTTTTCTGACACTAATAAATTTTTAACCTATATGCTTTGACACCCCCAGCAGTAACAGTACAGGTCAGATGTATTACAAAGATACATGAAACAAAAAAAATAAATGACCAAAACAGTATTAAATAAGTCTAAACTTGACCATCAGAAGAAACAAGAATATAAGTAAATGTTGGTCTTTTCCATTATAGATGAATTGAAATACATCAATGAAATACATACACTTTGCACATGAACTCAGACCTGAAATGAAGTAAACTGAGGTAGGGGATATCAAAACTGTATAATGCAATGAGACTAAAAATGTCCCATCAAAATTATTTAAGGTATGCTCAATAAATATGGTGTACTTTTAAATAGTTATGAACTTTGTGTGACTTTTCTGCTAAATAGATAAAATAAAATTTTCATTTGTGTCGAGTTATCTAAAAAGAAATATGATGAGTGAGTGAAAAGCTGGAAGCCCCCTATGGGATAAGTATACTGTTAGACACATAAAACATAAAGTTTTATGAGATTCTTTAAACTAAGAATATCAAGAAGGCACTAATAATTTCAAATATCTTCTAAACCATATATATATTTAACATAAGAGATCATTGAATAGTTCTTCATTAAATAGTGACATCAAAACATAACACATAACACAAGATGTGAAGGATGGCAGGTGTAAATGGCAACACTAGGAAGGAAAACGCTTTTACTATCAGCAACAAAGACATGTGGGTTAGAATGCTTCTCCAGCATGACGGTATTATACCTACACACTAGCTTATTATTAAAAACCTCAGCAGTTTTCTCATTCCCAGTAGCAATCTGGTTTTCATAGCACACTGTTTTCATAGTGAACAATAATGTCTTTACAACCATCTTTTATTTCCTCCTTGTCATTTCTCATAAATCATTAGTGTTGAATAATGTTTTCATAGTCAAATTTTCTGATGCCTCAACACATTTACCTCTTAGGTGCTTCTGTACAGTTTTTATAACAATTTCTGAGGACTCTATTGCACAAAATACAGGTCTTTTTCTAATATGCCTACTTTTAAATAAATTTGTTTCCTTAATGGTGGCTGAAGAGATACAATAGATTTGGGTTCAAAACCTTAATGTCAATGATAAAAATGGTTTAGTTCTACAAGAAACTCAAAAAACAATTTCAAGATTAAAAATTCTGGAAATCAGGTTTTCAAGCCTTTTTTTTATTAGAAAGCTTAAATTATTAGCTTTTTTTTTAAAAGGGAGTAGCCAATATCCATTTTTGAGTTTTCTCAAACAAATAATAAGGATAGCAAACTAGGATAAGAAAACACATTAGAAGACAGCCTTCTACTTCGTACAACTTCTAGTTACCTTTTCCTATCCATTCACCTACTTCTGTTCAGCAGCAAGAAAAAAAATCCATTTATTTTTGCCTTTTTGGATTTTTCCAAGATAAACTTCATTTACCTGAATACAAACAAAAGCTAGGGAGATGGCTTTTATATTGGCATAGACCAAGGACATGTCTCACAAACCAGGAAACCCTGCCTCGTATGGCTTATTTTGCAGTTTGGAGTCCAATGGTTATAAAACCAAGTGAAAGTCGAACAATATTCAAAATGACACAGATTGACAACAAATAATGGAAACACATGAAATCCTCTTAGCTGTTAATCTTCCCAATAGACAAATCCCTAGCATTCTGTAAATAAAATTATAAATACTAAAGAAATGAAGAGAATTTCACAATGGGGAAAGGATCATTTCTTATCATAATAAATATTTTGGTACAAATTTTTTAAAAAAGTAGAAAAGTTTAGTACCTTTGGGTACTTTTTTCTAATAAAACCATACCTGCTTCAGAACTTGTTTGATTATAGCTGCTAACAATGCTGTTTGGTATCACTGGAGTGGAGGACGTTGAAATTCTTGACTGAGGTGGATTGGGATGTAAGGAATTTCCTAAAGCCATGCCCGACTGACTGAGCATCCCACAGTTCCCGCTAGCCTGAATCTGATTTATTAAACCTGCAAGATGGTGGTTGGGGACTGGACTGTTACTGTGAACAAAGTTAGTGTTTGCATTGTGGCAGTGCACGGCTTCCCCTCTTAAAGGTATGTTCTGAAGAACACTAGAGTTCATACTGGGATCTGTAAAATGCAGCTGGTTAGCAGAGCAAGGCAAAGCAGTATTTGAGGCCCCACAACCCGGGGTACTATTGCTACTCAAGTGAGAGCTTTGACAACTCATAGACTGTAGTAACTGAGACATTGAACTGATGGGAAATGAACCCTGACCCTGCTTCCTTAGCAAGTCAGGTCCAGGTTTAGGAACTGCAGAACTATCCATTTGAGACTGTCTGAGCAAACTCAACACTGTCGTAGGTGGTTGTTTTCTTTTCCGCAATGCGTCTTTTTGCTGAGACATCAGCTTATCTCTTAGTGCTGCTCGACCACTTTGCCCTTCACCTGTTGGGAGAAGCATGTTGGCAGTAGGAGGGAACATGGTGTTTAAAGTGCTATGTCCTTCAGTGTTGCCACTGCCGGCAACAGCTCCAGAATTGCTACTGCTGCTACTGTTGTTACCAGCAAGTTTGTTTTGATTTGCTAGCTGTGCTTTGGCTGCTGCTGAGAGTAAACTACTTGCTGGAAAGGAGGCAGCATTGTGCTGGTTCAAGATCTGATTTAAAGGCATTCCCAGCAAACCAGGCTGACTCTTTACAGAACTACTTCCGGCAGATGCAGTAGGAAAAGCTGCACTGCTTGGGGTATTTAGTACATTACTTATTCCAGCAATTAATGGGTTAGGGATATCCTTGTACTGATGATGTCCATCGGACTTGGTAGAAGGGCTTGATGGCATTGATGGCCTTGGGGACCCTATTGTTGACCTTGGTGACCTGGGTGGAACCTTAATACCACTAGAAGTGGCCTGGGGTCCTACAGGTGGCATCATGAAATTTCCATGATCTGATGATGTGGAAGATGAGCGTGATCTTTGGGGCGATGCCTCAATCCTTCCAATTCCAGTCCCCATCATGTGCACGGGGGATGTCACTGGAGAAGGGGACAGGGAGGTTGAAGCTGAATGCTGAACTCTTTGTACATGACTCCCATGATTCATGTGACCAGGTTTTACAGTTGGCAATGGGAGATTACTTGGCAAAGGAACAACAGCAGGAGGCATGCTTACATTCATCATAGGTACCTGAGAGTGGACATTTGAATGGAAACTGGTTGGATTAATGATAACAGGGTTCTGATTCACTGGTTTACTAGGAATAGGGTCAAGAATGCCAAGTGGATCTTTCTCAGATGTTAATGGCTTTTTCTGAAGAGCACAAGAAGGTGGAGGAGGGGGAGGTGGGCCTTGGGGTGGTTTGTGGTGGAACATTGCTCGTGGTATTTCCATATTAGTTGAAAAATTACACATTGGTTTTTTCATTACTGGACTCTTTGTAGTCAAGGTTGGGGAAAGAGGTATATTAGTCCTTCCAGCCATTGCACAGGATGACTGTACAGGAGAACCATGTAGCATTACTGAAGGTGGAGAAAGAGGAGTCCTATTCAGGTGAATAGGACTAGAATTGGGAGCTCCATGAAAACCAGGATTACTTCTTGTGAAAACATCAGGACTTCCAAGTGGGTCAGTCCTTGGAGAGATTGAACCATCTCCATATATCTGGGAACCTGATGACGCTGGGCTGGGCAGGCCTCCATGGCTGCCACGGAATGGAGATTTCTGTCCATGTTCACTGCTGCCCAATCTCTGTCGGGGGTAGACAGGGTGGAGTTCTTGTTGTTGGCTTCCAGGCAGTTCTTGTACATATAGCCTTCCCATGGCATTTGATGATCCAATCATTAACTTGAAAGGATTCTTACATTCAGGCATTACAGAATTTGTAATTCCTTCATGAGACTTATTTCTTACTGATCTTGGAGTTGCTGCCCGAGAAGGTACTACTGGAGTTGCATCTGATGTGAAAGAGAAAAAAAGAATTCTGTTAACAGTCTCAACTCTTTTGTGGTGGGAGGGAGGGAAGGAATGGAGGAAATCAGGAAGGGAGAGGGAGGATGGGCATCTGGAAATAGGAATCTGTAAATAAAAGCTGTGATTCTATGCAATTAAAAATAGTTCTATATATTAATACTATTTTAAATTTGATTTAAAAAATGTACATTATTTTCCCTTTGTTGACCAAAGGTTCTCAGTAACTGCTCATTATGCTTATTTACTCTTTATCTGTTGAGAAAGCATGGGCATCTAAAGCAATACATAATGACATTAGCCATTCTAATAATATTTAGAATATACAAAATCAAGACTGGCAGTCCAGATGGAAATGGTGATATTACTATTTTGTTGGATTTAGAATTTTTAAGAATGCAGTTACAATAGAAAATTGTGGTTTGTGTGGCATAATATTTTCTTGGGTGATTTAAATGAATTGCCATTTTCACCACAAAATGTTCACCCTTATAACAAAATGTTTGTTATCTTACTGCAACCTTCTCAGAACAGATACCGTAATATTTCCTTATCCCAACATTTTCACTATGAGAGTAAGACTTGATTTCTGTCTAATGGGATTCCAAATCTTTTATAATGGGAGTAATAAGAAGAATAAATGCAGTGATATTGCAAACTAACCCATGCTTAGTTTCACATCATGTTTCTAACACTGTAATTTCTTTGCCCTTAATTAGTCATTATTGTAAAAACAGCCACACCCTTTTACCAACTTAGGTAAAAGACTGCAATTCTTTCATTAGACAATTGGGTGTATTCAGGGTGGTATGGCCACAGACTTCAATTCTTTTATTAGGATAGGTTTCTTATGTAAAATTTAGTTGAAGTGCTAAAACCTTCAGTACTGGGCTCCAATTGCATATTCTCTTTTTACATGAGTGCATTTCTCCTTCTCTGGCTGTTTGGAATCCCTTCAGTTTTTCTGGAGATCAGACAGAATACAGGCAACAAAAGCAAGCAGATTCATCATACAGAATTTTCATTCTATCACATCAGAATTCTAGGTTTCGCTTTTTTAGCCCCTTACGATATCTATTTTATAAAGTTATGCCTTTTAAAATGAAAATGGCAAGTAAAATTTGTTTCATATGCCAATTCCCACCAATTGGTGGTAGCTGCTTAGAAAGCTGTGTTGGAAAGGAAGCTGAACTCTAGCTGGGCTCCATGAGAAAATGCCAGTGAGACTGTTACAGGCATAGGAGATGAGAATGGCACCATTCAAACTATACATCCTGCCATACCTATTTTGAGACTTACATTAGCAAGTAGAGTTACATTCATTTGCAATAATAGGTATGCTTACTTAACTGGATAATTACACATTTAAGATTAAATATATTTTTCCTATCTGCTAGACACTATACAGGTCAAATCATATCATAACAATTACTGAGATAGTGGATCTCAACCTGGGGTCCAAATAAATCTACATAGAGCACATTCAATTAGTAAGAGAATGCTGTGAACATTTGTTTTTCTTGGAAAATGTGGAATTTCTGATTTTATCATGGTAGAGGTTCTTTGATAGAATGATTTCTGGATATAATATATGAAAAGTTGAGATCCAATGATATGAGAGAATTGCAGTAGATAAACTCAACTGAAGCTTATTTTCTTGTTAAAAAGAGATTTTTAAAGTTTGTAATTAAAGGAACAAAATGAAAAACGTTAATATTTTGGGCACTGTGCTTGGCAAATAGTGAGAACATTAACGTCATTAGCATTATCCTATGACTGACCATGTTCTCTTTAGTGACAAAACAACCTACTTGCATTTTTTCTTGGGTATCAATGTATTTATATAATTATCTACAGTTCAGTGATTAAAAATACAGACACTGGAATTTTTATATTCAACTAACAGAATTTAGATAATAACTGTGGTTCAGAAAAAATTTCTTCCAAACTTGGGGGAAAATAGTTACCATTTTAAAAGTAACTGAAATACAAAATAAACAAAAGTCAGGCTGATGTTTTGTTATAGAGTTGGCAAGTGGAAATGCTAGGCACCCATCAAGTGCTTTCAAAAGAATAAACAGTACCTTCCAAAAGAATAAACAGAAACAGATGCTTATGTATTTAAATAATGGGAGGTGAAAAACTACTAAGTCAGTCTTCTGAACTTTTAATTATTCAAATCTCAACCTTATGATAATATAGTTTAAAATTAGGAAACTAAAATAAATGCTATGTCTGAAGCTAGGAAAAGTAATCAATCCCATAAAGAGTATCATTTTAAAAAGGAATGGAGGTGTACCTATTACTACCTGTGCTAGTTATATATTTACCTTTAATTTCAATAATTAAACTTGTATGTATAGGTATGACAAAGAAGTGAGATCTAGATTCTGCCAGGGTCTTTAGAAAGGCAATAAGCAGACTCTGTAGAAACTGGTAAATCTATATGATATTATGTGATGTGAGAGCAAGCACAGGTAAGAATATGTCCACGGTAATATGCAACAATGAAAACATAGTTATACCTCTTCACATGAATTCTAAGTGTGAATCTTTAATTACCTGCATGACATGGCAACTGTTCTTCTTTGTATCCAAAGCAATCAGTAATTTGGCCCCAATTTACCTACATCGGTCTAATCTTCTATTCAAGTCAGTTTCTACAACATCCCTTATTATGCGACACTCATTATGGAGAAGGTTTTTCCTATCCCTCTTATATGTCTAAATCCTACTATTTTCTAAGACTGGTCCAAATCTCAGTTCTGCCATAAAGCTTTCTCTGATCACTACAGGTATACTCATCATCCCTATTTTTCAGAGTTCCATGGGAAAGTATCAATAATCCCTCATAAACAAATGCTTTGGTGTTTAGCCATATTTTATTCTGAATTAATATTCAAACATTAGATTATAATATTTTAGAGAGCATTCATATTCTATCCCTTACAAAAAGAAGTTCCTCAGTCCCAAAGTATAATTCCACAGAGTACACATTAATCATAAAGGGAAAAGGGTACTTCAATAATGGGAAAATCAAATGGACATAATTTTAACTAAGCAATCAAACAATGTTATCAAAATGGGATAAACTGACATTATGTGTCTAATGATGAGGAGCTAACATCATCTATGCAGTATTCCTAGCAAAATGTGTTTAGCCTGAACATAAATATGAGGAAAATCCAAACTGAGGAACATCGTGCAAAGTTGGCCTAGACTCTTCAAAAATTTCAATGTCATGAAAAATTGAAAAAGACTTAATTGATATAAAGATATGTAACAACTAAATGCAGTGTACAATCTTTGATTGCAATGTGAATCTTTAAAAAGACTGACTTCTTTTTTTTTTTTAATCAAGACAGAGTTTTGCTCTATCACTCAGGTTGGAGCACAGTGGTGTGATCATGGCTCACTGCAGCCTCCAACTTCTGGGTTCAAGAGATCTCCCACCTCAGCCTTCTAAGTAGCTAAGACTAAAGGTATGAGCCACCACCATGCCTGGCTAGTTTTTTTTTTTTTTTTAAATTATTTTAGAGACAGGTCTTGCTGTATTGTCTAAGCTCGTCTCAAACTCCTAGCCTCAAGCGATCCTCCCACTTCAGCCTCCCAAAGTGCTGAGATTACAGGTATGAGCCACTGCACCTGGTCAAGACTGAATTTCTGTGAAACTATAAGAGACACTGTTAGGACAATTGGAGAAATCTGAATACAGATTGCATGTTAGATAATAATATTATGTCAGTGTTAAATTTCCTGAATGTGAGCCTTAGATCGTGTTTATGTAAGAGTGTGCCCTTGTACTCTGAAATATTTAGGGTTGAATTGTCACAATAACTGCAACTTCTGCAACAAAATGTTAATTGGTAAATTTAGATGAAGGATACTCCATGAACTATTCTTGCAACTTTTCTGCAGCTTTGAAATATTTAAAAAAGAAAGCCCCCATGCATGCGTGTGTGTGGTGGTGGAGATATAAAAAGTTTTCAGCAAGGTGATTTCTGTTTAGTAGGTGTTCGACAAATAACTAAAAGAATAACACTGCTTTTGGGGACTTGATACCACACATTCCAATCCACCCCCAGGAAAAAGGCTACATTTATTTCCTAAAAACCAAGGGAACTTTTGTTAGCTCAGCTTTACACACTTGCAGAGTATTTGTATGTACTAATTAGTGTTTATTCTGCCTGTTAAACTGAATGCTCTGGGTAAGAAATTTTGGAAAATAACCTCACTATATTTTTTCAGAACTAGTTTGCTATTTGTAATAAAATTACAGGACATACAGAATTTTAAAAGCATTGTGCGTGCCTGAAAAGTAGAATGAGAAAATGCTAGGCAAAATGATTTCTAGCAACTCCTTCTCTAGGGAGAGGAGAATTCCTGAACCTTTCACCATATTACATACTTGTTCCTCCTCCGGGACTGGTGAGCACCAGAGAAGGATGTGGGGCTTCCATGCTTTTATGAAGTGTGGCCACTGCAATAATTTTTCTTTTATGTATGCATAGCTTTGTGACATCTTCATCTGCCTTAACATCTTCTGCGGTTCTCTGTTTCACAGCAGCTCCAGGATCAAAATTAAATACCTGGAAAAAGCACAGCCTTTGTTTAGAATATGTCTGTAAAAACATTTAATAAAAAGATCCCTTTGTTTAAAAAAAAAGTTGTGCATAGATTAAGCCATAAATCTGAATAAAACTTTCTCAAGTTTTTAAGAAAGGCAACTTTATATAACTTAGTAAGTACTTCTGCTGAACTCAAGCTTTTAGTGGCAAAGTAAATAATGAATACTATCCTAATTCTAAGACAGCCAAGATAAATATATGAAAAGGTATAATATCTGATAATGTTCTCAATTTTAGATACCTCCTGATGTTCTAACAGTGTAAAAACAGATGAAGTACACTTAAAAAAGACAAAACAAAAAGCTATGATATTTCTACATATTAACTTTTTCCTTGGCTTCATTTTATTATTACGTTAATATTATCTTGTCACTGATTTTGAAAATCTATTACTTGTTTTGTTTTAAATTTATTTATTATGTTAATCTTTTTTTGGAATGCGGTGACACACAAATGAAAAGTAAAAATTGTCTAACCTTTACTTTTAAAATTGGCATTATAATAGACATTCACAAAATAATGACCTATTTCTATAGCAAATAATATTTTACCATTTTACATGATTTTACTTTTTACCTTGCAAATGAGTAAAACAGTTTCATATTTTGGCTAGGAGGGTTCAGTTTTGTGATTTTGAGAATATCTGTGGCAGATTTATCAATACCAGTGCTAACAATAACATTGCAGATTTGAGCAGTTACAGTAATGAGAGAAAATATTGCACTATTAAATGCCGAGCAATATTAGATACAGCTCTAATGAAAAGGTAGAAAGGTGGTTTTAATGAAATTTAATATGAATATAGATTTGACACCTTTGAAAATGACTCTTAGACATGAATTATTTTCCACAATTTTTAAGCATTCCAAAACACATGCAAAATATGAGAATTAGATAAAGAATTAAAATGTATGATTGGAGAAGTAATAAAAAATAAAATTCCAAATGAGAAAAACAAATATACAAAATACCTAAAAAATAAAACACTGCTGTAGATCTATTGTGAAATGGTTACCTTGGGAAGAATAAGAGGACATTCCAAGCCACACTTGCATGTTCCATCAGTAAGCAGGTATGTTTTAACCTGCTCCAAGCAAGATAACAAAGACCCACTGGGACTGTAAAAATAGTTTAAAAAAACATCAGGAAATAATTTTGACTACACATATTATATGAAAAAAGGCATAATTTATAGTCTTACTGTCCTTTATGGGATATTTTCCCACTAGGGAAAAGCATTTTCTTTGTCAATATTATGTTAGCTACTAAATTATAGCCTTTAACAATATTGTGTTTTCTTTTGAACCAAAATATTTCTCAGAAAAATACAGATCTTCATAGAAAATTAAATAAAAGTATTCTGAAAACCAAGAGTAGACTAAAGGTGGTAAAAATGCTATTCTTAAGAAAGGACAGAAGCAGGCAAGAAAGGAACAAAGAACAAGAAAACTACATAAAAGCAATGACTCTCATTTTAAACTAGAATATCTACTTTGAAAGCTCTTTGAGGAAAAACAGAAATTTAGAAACATATTGAAGTTCGAACCAGAAAGTTGGCAAGTCCACAAAAGTTGGAGTGAGCAAGTCCCTGTTTATCTTGGAATCTAGAACCAAGTTGTCCCTATGTAAAAACAGGTTTCTTTTATCTCCCCCTTACCCATGTGTTTCTTTAAAGATATAATAGATCAGTTATATCCGAAGATACACTGAAGAGTCAAACTGTACAGAGAGAGAGAGAGGAATTAAGCAGAGTTGACAAAAGAAAGGAAACTTATGAGGAAATAGGGTTTTAGGCAGCAGAAATGTGCCTCGCAGGTCTTCGGGCTAATAATCGTGTAGGTACTTCAATGTTACGAAGTTTCAGATCACAAAAGTCAGTAAGATATGTGAATATTCATCAATACAGATTAAGTAGTAATTCAGATGACAAGAGATGTCTCTGATTTTTATTTACAATGGGAGTTATTTTATGTGAGATGGACAATCTGCATTTTAGGACTTTACATTAACATGTCAATGTTTGAACTTAAATACATATTATGCTTTGAAATTATATACTTTTCACTTGAGAATATCTTTTAGTTATGACTATTTACCAAAACCTTCACTTAAGCCCTCTGACCAAGTTCATCCAGAAACAATAATCTCCATTTCATATACAAAACATTACAATACTGGACACAGATTGTTCTATCTACAAAAACACAAGTAGTATTTTTTAAAAATCTATTAGTGAACTAGCTTTAAAATGCAATTCATATTTTATTTATGGACACTTATGAAAGTAATTTCAGCATGTAGAAAATCTAAACAAAAATCCTCAACTTTGTCAAATTACTCATTTACTTAGGCTATTTTTTTTTCAGGTGATATGCAGAGAATTCTCATTTTAGTGACGAGTTCAACCACTGCAGGGAAGGGCAACAAGATGTCTTTGGAGGTCTGGTGATTTCAATAAACTAAGTCAGGCTGAGTGCAGTGGCTCACGCCTGTAAACCCAGCACTTTGGGAGGCCGAGGCAGGCGGATCACTTGAGGTCAGGAATTTGAGACCAGCCTGGCCAACATGGTGAAACCCCGTCTCTACTAAAAATACAAACATTAGCTGGGCATGGTAGTGTGTGCTTGTAATTCCAGCTACTCGGGAGGCTGAGGCATGAGAAATGTTTGAACCCAAGAGGCAGAGGTTGCAGTGAGCCAAGATGCGCCACTACACTCCAGCCTGGGCGACGGAGTGAGACTTTGTCTCAAAAACAACAAGAAAAAAAGTATAATGTCTTGTTGATTTTTCATGTGAAGCATTCATGAATTTGGTGAAAAGGAACTGCCCAACATTTTAACTTAGAAGAAAGTATATGGACGGAATCCTAGAGGAATTTAATTGTAAAATTAAACCTGAAGACATGAATTCCTTAATTCTATTAAAGTACTCCAGATGCTTTAAAAACATTTCCTCTCAAAAAGTCAGTTGGCTTCTTTCCTTCAGTTGTATCTCTTTAATTAATTTCTCAGAGTAATAATTAATGTAAAAAAGTTTAAAAACTTACAGCATAGATAAAGCTTAGAAGATTGGAAGTAGGTGGAAAATTTAATGTGTAGCCTCAATGCCACCCTGAGGCAGGAGCAGCTGGAGACCAATCTAAAAATTATGAGTAAACTGCACATTGAGCAGGGAGCTATAGAAGGAGCTATACATGTTCAAGTAGTAATTTAGTTATATACAAACAAATTAAATCTATGCTGGTTAATTTAATTTGAGAGTGTTTTACCTAATCTAGGAAAGCTTGTTTCCAAAATAATTATCAGTATACAGATTTGAAGTTGGAGAACCCATACTAACAAGGATATCAGATGGTATAAAGTCTAGTCAGACTTAGAAAATCATGAACAAGATACCTGACAGTTTCTTAGACTTTAACTTGGTTTTTGACTCCCAGATTTACTTTGGTTTTTGCTCGCAGAAGTTGAAAAAGCTCATCTATCTTTCATAGGAACAAAAAGGAAGTGAAAAAAAAATTATCCAGATTTTAGAGTCTTTTGTTCTATGCTGAATATACATTTGCTCTTTATAAACTAGAACAACCATAAGTATAAACATATAACACAGATAACTTGCTATATTATATTTATAACAAAGTATTTCTGGTACTTTGTTAACAGCACTGGCAATAGAAACTCTGAAGAAGTTATCTCATGTGTGCTTGTTCATCTCATCTACCATGGGATGAGCTTCATATTCTCTGCTTTCTTATCCCTTCACCCCAATAAATATGGATCACATCTTTAATATTATAGAAGTAAAATTTATGCAACAAAATGCTTTTAATTGGTAATTAGATTTACCTCCAGAAACGCCTTACACACAACAAGCAAACAAACTCAGGACAGAATCTGAACTGACTTTCTGAGTTATTATGCCATAAAATAGTCTGTGTTTACATAACCAAAAATATCTCATTTCTATGAATACATTCTTGCTGGACTGGCAAATTCTGTTGAAGCTGGGATATAAATAGCCACACTGAAAGTAAATGCATCAATCTAATAATGGAATGTGATACCTTTTAAAAAGTTTTAAGTTGTTTCTAAAATTTTTCATTACATCACAAGAAAGATTTATGGTATCTTCTTTCAGACACTTACAGAAAAACTATGAAGTAGGGAACTTAGATGTCAACTATTTAATGAGTAAGACTAAAACTTCTTCTTAACAGTTTAGTCATTCCATTCAACTTGTTCTACAACAGATGTATAGCATTGACATTGAAAAGAGTAGGCATTTTATTTGTATGACTATTTACTTGTAAGATGCAGAGCCTTCTCCATGACTTTTTCACTTTTACTATTACACGCAAGGAAATAGATTAAAGACTATGCAGAAAAAAAGAAATGTATTTTTAGTTAACATGAGGCATTAAGAAGTCTAATAATTGAAACTTTCTATGGATAAAAACTCAATTTTATCAAAAAAGCCAGCTGACACACTCTGAAGGACAGAGTAATTCTGTCAAGTGATATCAGGTCAAGTGATATTCCCAGTATTTTACATTCTCCTGTGAATGTGGTAATGATGATTGCATGTTTCTTTTAGAAATCTTCTTATTTTTCTTTATTCTTGTTACAGAGATAAGCAGAATGACACCTTATATAAACAAGTAATGCAAAAAATTCTCTCTGGAAATCTAAGGCAATAAAAATTCTCATATGTTTCTAGCACAAAGGTCACTTTTTCACATTTATATGAGGTGCCATCAGTCACCATGCTTGGTTCTCTCCTTAGTCTTTGGAGTACAACTTTGCAGGTACCACAGGTAATAATAAGAACTTACCTGACATAAAGCACTCCATTTTGATCCACACGACGCTGCCAACCCACAGGAACTTGTATAGCTGGAAGACCTCCTTCCTTGTCCCCTCCGTCACACTCTTTGCCTCCATTCATTTTCTGTGTCTGCTAGGGACTCTCCAAAGATATCAGCAATAAGATGATATCCTTATATTACAGAGCATGATGGCCTTCAAAAGTGGGCCAGTGCAGCACAGTTTTTCCCAGACTGTACAAAACGCATTGGGAAGCTTCAGCTCAGTTTGGAACCAAGTCCTTGAAATATGCCATTGTGAAAAAAATCAGCTTCCCATTATAATCTACATTAAATAACCAATATTTAATTCCTAAGGATGGTCTACATGGGTAAAAATGAGTGCTTCTGACTAAGGAAAATCATAATTCACCAATGCTGGTACCTGTCTGAAGTGGGGGTGGGGAGTGTAAAGTTTTTAGTTCAACATTTGTCTTGAACCTTGATGTTGTACTAAGACAATCTCTATTGTTTAGAAACTGGTCTCATTTTTACAGTGTGAGTCGGTTAATATTTCCAGGTACCCGCCTTTATAGGCCACATTCTTTAAACTTTCTCTTTATCTTCCAATCTGAATCCAAGGTGTTGCAGGTTGGTTCATCTGATGTTTTCATGACTTCAAAATTCCAATAATGTAGCCTGAAACATATGTAAATATGTGAACTTGTATATTTAATGTTGAAAACTGAGAAGCTTTACAGTTTTAAAATAGAATAAACTACGAAGTGTACCCAATCACATTGATGTCCTTTGCTATCAAAATCATACGTCAAATTCAAGTTGTTTCCTTCTTCCAACTTAGTCCACTTACTCCAATTAAACTAATCTACTTGCTCTTCGGCATATCCAACTTTCTAATTACTAGAGACAGACCCGTAATTATGGCATTACATATACACATACACTCAAACATACAAACGTACACATAAGGCCTCCTTCTAACTTGACATAAAAATATATCCATCACTTCTTAATGACCGTAAACTACACAGTTGTGTGTTAATCCAACCATATTTTAATAAGTCCTTAATATTATATAACCCTTTGATTCAGTTTTCTTTTCTAATCATTATACAGTTTTGGTCTAGAGAAGAAAATGTTTATTTTTTTAAAATAAAAAGTTAGAAGGAAATAAATTTATAGTACTTTTCCAAATATAAGAGGTGGTTTCCCTCCCATATTACTGAATATGAGTGGAAGTTGCTTTATAGTCAAGAATTTACAAAATTCCTTATATTATGGGGTGCTCTTTTAATTCCCTTATTCAGTTATGAGGTGCTATTTGAGGAGGACATACTAGCTTGAAACAGCCATAATCAATGATAGTGTGGAATGCTTATAAAAGTTATCTTGATTGAGCTATTAAATAAAAAATCATGGCAAGTAAATTTTTAGAAGATTTAGTATCCAATCTTGTGGGGAATGCAACTTCACATTTGTTAGTATTATTTGTTTTTGTAAAGAAGCCTTTTTATGACCAATTTAATATACTGTATATAGTTACATTGTGGGATTCATGAAACTACACTAAAGAATGCGTAAAAAACAATTATCCTAGTGTTGAATGAATGGGACTTGTGGTTTGTGATAAATATTTCAGTGGCAGCATTGTCCACAGATTCAAAAAATACTATATTTCAAACAATTTAAATGGAAGTGAAGATGATATACTCTGAAAAACTGTGTTAAATGACTTAAGATTCTTATGAAAGTATTAAATTGAAATCATTTTAAAACACATAAGTGAAGAAGCTAATGTATTATTTTAGACAACACGTATTTCAAAGATGCATGCATAACTTAATCAAGTAACAAATTAAACAGTGTAAATAGACACATAACTACTTAACTACATTCCTAAAAGTCTGTGTAGTTAAGTTGGCCCGAAACCTTTTTTTGGATCTCTCATTAGGAAAGCAGGAGACCACCTTGCAGTAAAGGCCATCGTATATTCAGGTATATGCCTTATTTGCAGCCTTGGCTCTGAGACAGGTTAAGGGTGTTGTAATGAAGCATTTACTCACAACTGAAAACAGGGAACTGTGGGTATGGACGTGGCAAACACTGGCAGGCAATGGGGAAAATATCAAAAATTTACTGGGAAAAATTTCAGACTATAAAAAGTACCAAGTAGTAGCAATTCCAATGGGGTCTCAAGCTGGAAATTTGCACCACTGGCCCCAGTCCACTGTGTTATACTTCTCACAGAAATGGCCCATCTACAGGCATAACATCTTCCACTCACTATACCTTTGACCATGACTCCTGCTGTTCATGTCTGTGTTTATTCATATTTCATTCAACAGTTAGTGAGCAGCTACTATATGTGCTAGGTACTATGCTAGGTGCTGGGAGTACAAAGATGGTAAGTACTGTGGTCTGAATGTCTGTGTCCCCCCCAAATCCGTAGGTTGAAATCCTAACCCCCAAGGTGATGGTATTAGGAGATAGAGCCTTTGGGAGATGATTAGGTCATGGGGGCAGAGCCATCATGAATGGCATTAGGCCATAAAGAGATCTCTTCCAACATGTGAGTTTGCAGTGAAAAGACCACATGCACCAGAAAGTAGTCCCTTACCAGACACTGGATCTGCCAGTGCCTTTATCTTGGATCTCCCAGCCTCCAGAATTATGATAAAAAAGTTTATGTTGTTTATAAGCCATCCAGTTTACAGTGTTTGGTTATAGCAGCCTGAACTACGACAGCAAAGTACTATTTATCCAAAGCCCAGTGTAATATTTGGCACTAATGAGCTATTCAATGTGGAAGAACAAAAAGGAAAGAGGACGGGAGGGATGAGGAAGTTAGGACGGGTCAATCCCTGTTCACAAGGAGTTTGTGGCCTCATGGAATTTCTAGCGCTTGTGAAAGTGGTATGAACTTTGTGTCATCCTGGACCTCTAGTTTTGTCAAATAGCAACAGACTCTGATGACCAAACTTGTTTTTTTTACAGTCCCTTTTCATGCCTGTTTTATTACCTTGCTTTTCCAAAGAAATCTCTTCAGTGGTCTCATCATTACACTGGGCCCATTCCCATTTTCCCTACTTTTCAGCTTTCTATTTGATACCTTTTTTTTTTTTCTGCCTGCTCTTAAATGTGGCTCCAACTTCCCTGAGACTGGCTGGCTCACTCCATTAAGTAATTTGTGGATCTGCCAGATAATAACATTGTAGTGATTCCTGCCAAATGCTTCCCTCACATTTCAGTAATCAAAAATACCAATATCTGATGGCTGGGTTTTGCTTAAACCAGGAGTTCTCTAACATGGTTCTGGGACAAACATCACTATTACCAGTAACACCTGGGAACTTGTCAAAAATGCAGATTCACAGGCCCAATCTCAGACTTAGTGAATCAGAAACTCTAGGGACAATCTATTTTTTAGTAAACCTCTAGGTGCTTGTTCTGATGCCTGTTCGAAGTTTGATGCCTGATCAAGACTGACACCCTAATCCGTCTGCCTCTCTTCCCAAGAAAAGGCTGGTTTTACAGCTTTACATCTTGCAGGCAGCCAGCCCTCTAATTTCTTTTGTCCAGGGTTTGGGGATGGAGTATGGGAGGATCATCCCTTTTTTGCTGCTACTTCAGCCTTCCAGAGGCAGCACAATTGTAAGGGTCTTAGGAAGCCCTCATAGCAAAAATCCAATATAGTTATCATTTATCTGTTAAGTGGCAATTTTTTTCGCAACACTCATCTTGTGAATTTGGAAAATACAGAGAAGTTTGAAGATGAAAATAAAAACTGAACTGTAATCTCACTGCTGAATAATAACCACTGAAAATACAAAAACACTATGAAACTCTGATTAAAGAAATAGGCGAGGATACAAACAAATGGAAAGCTATTCCATGCTCACAGATTAGAAAAATTGATATTGTTAAAATGACAATGCTACCCTAAGCAATCTACAGATTCAATGCAATCTGTATCAAACACCAATGACATTCTTCACAGAAACAAAAAAATCCTAAATGTCTATGGAACCATTGATATGCTTTTTTTCAATCATTTGTTTTTAGAAAGTTTTAAAAGCTTACATTAAAAATGAGTTTAATAAACAACAACATCCACTACTCTAATTTTACAATGTAAACATTTTGTCATTTTTGCTTATTTAAAAAAATAAGATGAAAACATTACAGATGAAGTTAAATACTATCCCTCACCCTCACCCCATTTTCCTTTTCAGCCCAATCCCCTCCCTTCCACCCCAGAGGCAACCAGTATTACGATTCTCGTCTGTATCCTTCTGGGTTATGTTTTAATATGTTTATTTCCTATATATGTATACATAAACAATATTTTACTGTTATATGTATTTTGAAATTTTATATAAATACTGGTATATACTACATATAATTCTGCAACTTGCTTTTCTAAAATTCAACATGTTTTGAGAGCCATCTCTATTGAGGTACCTAGATCTATCTCTGTTGCAGATATAGGATTCCAATTCATGAATTTTTAAGCTTGAAATTGTATTCTATCATATGATTATACAACTATTCATCTATTGGTATATCAATCATGTTAATGGATCTGCACATTTTCAACTCTACAGATATTGCCAAATTGTTCTCTGAAGCAGTTGCACTGATTCCAAATATTTTCTATGTGTAAATGTGTGTCTTTTAAATATTGAATCATTACCACTTTTTTTCTTCCTGGGCATTTTACTATGACATTAAACACTTTTCCAAAACATGATCTTTAATTGTTGGATATAATTTTGTGATAAATGTATATATAATTTCTTTACTTATTTTCCTTTGGTGGACATAGATTTTTCTCCCAAATTTTCACAATGACAAATAAATCTGATAAAAATATTCCTGTACATAAATCTATGCCCATCTTGATAACTCATTTAAAATTATTTGCTAACATAGAATTATATAATTCTAGGGTCCTTCATACATTTCTTAAAGTGCCAGGAGGGTAGAACTAGGAAAGCATTTCAGGCCATGTTTCTTAAACTTTTGAAACTGATGCGTGCCTTCTTTTGCTAAATATTAAAATTGATTCTACTTGCCTCCATGATTCTGATAACTTCACCTTCTATATAGACTCATCCAAGATGTAGTCAGGTTTACTTTTATAATTTTATAATTATAATATTATAAAAACTAAAGCTTCTGCTGTTTTCCAAATTTAACACTTTAATATTACTATGCTTTTAGAAGTACCTATTTCACAGCATCTTGCCTCACCTCCCCAAAGACCCACCTTGTTTATATGGCTTCATTTAAGCCCAATAAGCATAGGTCAAAAATTAAAGATTTTGTGATATGAAGGTACCTCCATCTTACTAAGACTCAGGATCTACAATAGATCTTATACTTAGGACTTAATTTATATTTATTTCACAAACAGTAGCAATAATAATGAGATGCAAAGTTGTGTGCATGTGTGTGTGTGTGCCTGTGTGTATGTTCTGAGGGAGATACCTGCCACAATTCCACCAATGTTTTCAGTTTCCTGATTCCTTTAAAAATGCAAATTAGTCTCTGGAAATGGCTTTTGGTGGATTGAATTTTAGCAACTTGATTTTCTTCTTTACATTGGCTTCTTCTGACCATTCATCATTCAAATTAGACATCATCTCGTCAAAATGACTGTAATGTAAACTCTAGGGGTACTCTCTCACACTTTAATTCACTGATACTTTCATTATCTGATGATGATTATTACTGTTTATCATTTGTTTGTGTGTTTATTGACTAGCTCTCCCCATTGGAATGTAAACACTCTAAGAGCAGGACCTTGTCATATTCCCAGTTCCTGGTATCATCCCTAGCATACAGTAGGTGCTTAAGTACTTCTGAAAGACTGTGCATATTCTAATTAGTCAATATAATTTTACATTCTGATTTTTTACCATGTGGGCTTATAAAATTTTAGCAACACATGTCTAAAATGAAAGAGGTTTTTAAAAGAAGCCAATGACTATGCATGTTGATAAAATAGCAAAAGAGCCTTTTGCTCTAGATTTTTCCCTGATGATCTCACAATCTCTGAGTGATAATTTCTGTGTTCAAAAAGTGTGACAGGGCTTCCAAGAAAACTGATATGCTAACTTTAAATTTTATTTATAAAGTTAATCACGGTTTTATTTACTAAGTGGTTTATAGACACATTTTAATTGGATTAATAAAGGAATCCCTAAAATAAACAAGTGTAGCAATATAAAAATTAAACATATTTCAACAGGATGCTAATTAATGAAATAGACCTTTTTTTTTTCTCATTTTGCTTTAATGAGATTATTGTCAACCTAATAATAAACTCACTACTTTATGAAGTGTTAAATGGGTATTTTATTTTACTTTAATTTTTTGGAGACAAGGTCTCACTCCATTGCCCAGGCTGTAGGGCAATGGCACAATCACGGCTCACTGCAGCTTTGACTTCCCGGGCTCAAGCTATCCTCCTGCCTCAGCCTCCTGTATAGCTGCGATCACAGGTGTCCAAACCAGGCCTGGATAATTTTTTGATTTATTTTTTGTGGAGATGGGAGTCTCCTTTTGTTGCCCAGGCTGGTCTTGAACTCCTGAGCTCAAATGATCCTCTTGCCTTGGCCTTCCAAAGTGCTAGGATTACAAGTGCGAGCCACCGTGCTTGGCTTAAATGTGTATTTTTAAAGTTATACTCAAAACAACATGAAGTAACATCATGAAAATAAGTAAATAGCTATTCTTCATAAATCTTTTTGAATAACATCAAATGTCAAATTCTTCTGAATAATTAAATGATTAATGATAAAAATAATGAATTGGTTTTTGAGTCATGTGATATTATGAGTAAATTCTATTAAAATGTTTATAATGACATCACACAATGATCTTGTGCTCAGTGGATGGGAATACTGGGAGACACAGTGGGACAGAATCAACACCCAATTAATTATTGATTTATCAAGCTGAGACTATGTACATTAGGTAAAACATAGATATTTGATATATGTAAATCATGGCTTATACTTTTAATATTATGATTATAAACTTAGCTTATGGAATATTTAAAGATAATTAAGAAGTCCACTCTATTCCTATATTTGCAAAAGTGAACACCTCATATTCTCCAATTAAGAACAAGTCCTACATAAAACCCGCCTTTATGTTTATATTCCAAAACAATATATACATGTAACAACAGACATGATTGGATTAAAAATAATAGCATTACTATTGTGGAGAGGGAAGTCTGAGTGGCTACAACATAATTATCATTTTATTGGATAATAAATGAACATATTCATAATCTTTCCATCATTATTGGCTGAATTATGCTTGTTAGAGTAACCCTAAATGACATTTCCCCTTTCTAATTATCTTTCACCCTCATATCAATTATTCAAACAGCTCCTTCACAGTACCTAGTCAATCCCTCATTCAACCTCCCCCCATCTGTTTCACCTTTGACCTATTTACTCAAGACATGCATTTTTCTTTATGAGCACACTTATCTTGCAGTTATATCTTTTTTCATATTTTTTAAACTGTGCAATACACTAGCCCCATTTTTGGTTTAGTTATTATTTTCATTGCTTATCTTCACTGTGCAGTCACTTCTTCCAAAATATACCTCTCAGATACACCCTTTGTAAGCGATCCAATAACTCTGCCAGGCTCCACTTAATCACTCTAACTACCCCTAGCACATTTACTTTTGTTTTATGTAGTTGTACAGGGATACCTTAAAAAGGCAAATCTCTCCTGCCCCTGCCACTCATTAGAGAGATATTCTCTAGCTTCAGATGTCCTTGACCGTTCACTGCAGAAAAGTGTAAAAGTTCACAACCTGAGAATGAGGGATCATAATGATGTAGGAAAGTTATATTTTTCATCAGCTCTCAAGGTACAGAGAGACAGGCTCCTGAGAGTGAGGCCAGTCCTCAGAGTCAAAGTAGCAGCCATGCTTGTCTGTGCCCATCTTTGGTCAATAAGTTTATTTATTCCAGGCCATATTTTGCTACAAAAATTCAGCAACTTATACACTCTAGTCACATAGAAGTCTTCATTGAACTAAATGCTAAGTGTGGTAGGCTGCCACAAAATTGCAGTTCCTTCCATCAGGAGATGAATTTATCACTCCATATGCTGAATCTTGGCAGGCCTTGTGATTTGCTTTGACCAGTGGAATTTGATGCATATGATACTGTTCAAGTTTTGCACCTAAAACTCAAAAGGCCTTATAACTTTCGCTCTTGTTTCTTGGAATGCCATCATCATGTGAACAATCTGAGCTAGCACCATCGAGGATGAGAGACCATGTAAAGAGAGAAGTCTCGCTGTCCAGCCAGTCCAGCTGAGGCCCTAGACTTGTAAGTAAATATAGCCAGCACTATGTGGAACAGGGATGAGCTGCTAGAGCTGGGCCCAGACTTAACTGCCAACTCACAGAATCAAAAATATTATTTCAAATAGCCAAAACCATACTAAAAACAATTAAAAAGCCTAAAATAGGGTTTAACTTAAATTAATCATAGTATTTAGAGGCTACATAGCATTACTGGTTAACAGCAGAAGCTAGAAGCTGACTGGGTTTGAACCCTGGCTCCACCCTTTATTAGCTTGTGACCTTGCACAAGTTTTAAAATTTCTTATAAAATGGAGATTATAACCATATAGGATTGTTCTGGGAAAAAAGTTAGTTAATGTAGATGTGCCTAGCACATAGTAAGTACCCAAATTGTTATTAGTCATATATAGCTATTAAAGTCATATTACAGAAATTTTAATAGCACTAGGGAAAGGACCATGATTTTGTTAGGTGAAAAAACATACTATAAAATTATACATATAATTATAATCTTAATTTACAAAAATGCTACTATTTATATAGACATAGGAATAGAACACCATTATACTCTATATGTTCTCTGGTAGTATAAAAACATACTTTCTCATTGCCTTTTTGGATTTTCAAATTTTTCTATAATAAACATATATTAGCTCTATAATCACGGAAAATACTATCTTCAAAAAATTAAGTGTTATATCTGTAGAAGAGCTAATTAATGTTTCCCTAATCCTTAGAAGTATTAGGGAAGCTTTTTATTGGAAAGCTTCATGCCCAGTAATATGCTATTATTTCTCTTTCTGTTTTATTCAACTGGAGAAAAAGATATGGAGAGTCGGAAAGAATACTGCATTAACCTATTATGATCTACATACTGCAAATAAAAATTAAGGCTATCCTTTAGATTGGTTCTAAAATGCCTCTGGGTGTCATGCCCACTTTTCTGCTTGGAATATTGTCTCCCATCTCACCCTCTTGTTCTTCACTGAATAGCTCCCATTCATCTCAGTTTAAATGTCACTTTCTCAGAGAAGTCTTCCCTCATCATCCTAATCTTTACTTAACTTTCCAAGTCTTTAAATTAGGTTCCCCTTGTAATTCTCCCATATAATATCCAGTTCTTTTGCTTCACAGAAATTATTACGAACTGAGCTTTCTCTTCACCCTTGACATCCTACAAGATTGCAAAAGAAAAAGCAGTTGAGGCAGAGAAGTTCAGGTTAAAGCTTCACTTTGTGCCTTTGAAAATACATAAGGAGGTGGGAAGTGAAGGTCTATATGCATGTGTGGAAAATACTATGCAACACTTCCTTTCTTTAAAGCCAAAAAAGTGAACAATTACCAGCTCTCAAATACATATCTTTAAAAAAATTTACTTTTTATATTTTCTGCAAACCCACCTAGGAATGTACTCAAGAAATGTAGGGAATTGTTTTAAAGAATAGCAACGAGTTATACCAGAACATCTATGAACAAAACGATAAACTCACTATAATTCTGAAGGAAAAATTATTCATGATTTATTCTTGTATGTTAGCTGTTAGCACAGCTGTTATTTTTTGCTTTTCTGTAATATGGTGATTTCTCATAAAGAATACTGATTAAAAAAAACTTGGCTGCATTTACATAACCAATTTAAGAGTACACCAACAAGGTTTGGGGGGTAATTTTCACATCTTATCTGTGCATTACTACTGTTTTGTCTACTCAGGATGCAGCTTGATATATGAACGTCAAATCTTTGTTGAAAAATGATGTATATCAATTTTGTTTATTCCCAAACCTGTAGGATGAGAATAAAATAATGCAAATTATGTCCATTTGGGGGTTTGCAATACACCAAATGGTGTATTTATATATACACTAATATTTATATACACTTTTACTATAAAAATACTTAGCACTCTTCAATTCATTTAGCAATGGCTGCCAAGTTCCTACTTGGATTAATCAATACCAAACAGAGGTAAAGTAATTTATACTTTATATAAAGTATATAAACAAATATAAATAAATCAATACCAAACAGAGGTAAAGTAATACTCTGCTAGTACCCTAGTAACCTTGAAAATCAGGTTACTAAAAGGAAAAATAAGACAACTCCTTACCCACTGAAGAAACCCACCCAAATACACTGTGTCTGAATATGTATCTAGGAACACTCAAGTCCAGTCAATCTCTCCAGCAAATATAATTAAATGTTCAAGATAACTACAGTCTAATAAAGTATCGGGTAAGGTCTTTCAAGAAACAAGAGGAGGAAGATTATTTCTGTGCAGTTTTTAGAAAAGGGAGCCCAAAGAGCATATAATCTCTAAGCCCCATGAAATAAGTGATCTTTTACTGTGTTTATGTAGCTCACATATCAGGAATGAAACAAGTAGTAAAACCCATGGTTGTTTAATGGCGTCATATGAAAAGTATCTCAAGGAGACTCCATTCAGTACTTGACTGACTGCTCATTGGAATGATGAGGATGGCAGAGAAAATGTAGCAGCCACAGAAATCTTAGGCACAAAGTACTCAGGTTGGAGAGGGAGGGAGTTTCAGTATAACCAAATGAGGCATAGAGTGTTTTAGAGGATGTACTGAAGAAAAGCAAAAACTGTAAAAGTCTCTAATTTAACAAACAGATAAGCAAAATGTAAGACCAGCCATACACAGGAGGACTCTGGGCCAAACCCTACCTACAGAAGTGTTTGGCTTGCACATGGTTTAAGAATAATAATATAAGTAAATTAATTGACAATATTTAAATCAAAAGATTTCACATAACAATTCTATTTCCTGCTTTACCTGAGAAACTGGACAATATGGTAACACTAGGCCAACATTCCTGCCTTGCAACAATTATCTGGAATGGAGCAGTGGCTGCTCCTCCAGAAAGGATTTGGCGCTCCAGTTCACTGCAATAGCTTCCTGCTTCATTCCCATCAGCCTGGCCTCTATAGGCATGTGGGTTTCCAACTTCTGGAATAGAAAGTACCTTGAGATAAGGCTGAAGGTTTCACTATAGCCCTTGACAAGAGGTATAACTTATTTTGCTAAATAACCATTTATCCTACATTTCATAGTTTCTTCAAAAGGATAAATGATGAATTCTTAGTAGATCATTATGCATTACCAGTGTGTGCAGGAGGGCCAGTAAGCCAGCTAAAACCATAAGCACACAGGTAACTTTCCTAAGGAAATTGAGACTGGTGATTCTTGACTTAGAGTAGGTAAAGGGTACAGAGAACCATCCAATTTCAATCCTCTACTTTCTTTCCTTCCTTCCTTCCTTCCTCCCTCCCTCCTTTCCCTTTCTTTCTTTCTTTCTTTCTTTCTTTCTTTCTTTCTTTCTTTCTTTCTTTCTTTCCTTCTTCCTTTCTTCCTTTCTTTCCTTCTTTCTTTCTCTCTCTCTCTTTCTTTTTCTTTCTTTCTTTCTCCTTCCTATCCTTTCTTTCTTTCTTTGTTTCTTTCTTTTTCTTTCTTTCTTTCTCTCTTTCCACCATCATTGGCAATATCACATTGTCATTGTCTCAGGAACTCATCTTGGAAATCAAATAATTATGGAATCTAATTGTACAATTACTCATTTTAGGATATATAAAATGCCACTGAAATTTTTCTGGATTAAAAAGATTGTTTTCTGTTAGCAAATAAATTCATCAAGTCTTTCAAAGGTATACTTGAGATCTTATAACCTGTTTACTTTCTCCTAGTCATCAGGGAGATATTACCATATTCTGTGTGACAAGGCTCTTCCTCAGCCTGGGTAAAATAATCCTTGAAACACTCTAACTTATTTTGTTCTACCTCCATGGCCACCATTGGATAACCTTCTGATTATTTGATGGATTTCATAGGTGCTCTGATATAATTAAGTTACTTACTCGGATAGCAAGCTCAAGTATTTCAGTTTTACACACACACACACACACACACACACACAGATAAATAATCTGGTATGTAAATTAATTTCTTGTAAATATAGATGGTCTGTGTTAGATCCCACGGGCTCATCACTCTTGAGAATAAGAAAAGTTTTTAACCTGGAAGAGCTATCCTGGACCACAGTTACTCCACAGGGTCCTCTCACCATTGAGGTCTTCCCTTCATATCCAGACTATTGTTCTGTTTGTTTGTTTGTTTGTTTTTGGATATCACCTTCCTCTAACTACATCATTATTAGAAAAACTAGGGAATGATTTCTACATATGGCTAGCCAGTTTTCCTTACACCTCATACAAAAATTAATTCAAGATGGATTAAAGACTTACATGTTAGACCTAAAACCATAAAAACCCTAGAAGAAAACCTAGGCAATACCATTCAGGACATAGGCGTGGGCAAGGGCTTCATGTCTAAAACACCGAAAGCAATGGCAACAAAAGCCAAAATAGACAAATGGGATCTAATTAAACTAAAGAGCTTGTGCACAGCAAAAGAAACTACCATCAGAGTGAACAGGCAACCTACAGAATGGGAGAAAATTTTTGCAACCTACTCATCTGACAAAGGGCTAATATCCAGAATCTACAATGAACTCAAACAAATTTACAAGAAAAAAAAACAAACAACCCCATCGTGGGCGAAGGATATGAACAGACGCTTCTCAAAAGAACACATTTATGCAGCCAACAGACACATGAAAAAATGCTCATCATCACCGGCCATTAGAGAAATGCAAATCAAAACCACAGTGAGATACCATCTCACACCAGTTAGAATGGCGACCATTAAAGTCAGAAAACAACAGGTGCTGGAGAGGATGTGGAGAAATAGGAACACTTTTACACTGTTGGTGGGACTGTAAACTAGTTCAACCATTGTGGAAGTCGGTGTGGCGATTCCTCAAGGATCTAGAACTAGAAATACCATTTGACCCAGCAATCCCATTACTGGGTATATACCCAAAGGAGTATAAATCATGCTGCTATAAAGATACATTTACACATATGTTTATTGAGGCACTATTCACAATAGCAAAGACTTGGAACAAACCCAAATGTCCAACAATGATAGACTGGATTAAGAAAATGTGGCACATATACACCATGGAATACTATGCAGCCATAAAAATTGATGAGTTCATGTCCTTTGTAGGGACATGGATGAAGCTGGAAACCATCATTCTCAGCAAACTATCGCAAGGACAAAAAACCAAACACCGCATGTTCTCACTCATAGGTGAGAACTGAACAATGAGAACATTTGGACACAGCAAGGGGAACATCACACACTGGGGCCTGTCATGGGGTGGGGGGAGCGGGGAGGGATAGCATTAGGAGATACACCTAATGTAAATGACGAGTTAATGGGTGCAGCACACCAACATGGCACATGTATACATATGTAACAAACCTGCACGTTGTGCACATGTATCCTAGAACTTAAAGTATAATAAAAAATAAAAGAAAAGAAAAAAGAAAAACTAGGGAATGATTTTGAACCAGAGCAGGACAGGGGAATGTGTAGGACAAGGTGTGGCAACATGCTTGGGTGGTGCTATTTCTCAGAAAGCAGCCAAGAGAGACAAAGGAGCAAGCAAGGGATGTGGAAACAAGGTCAAGTGGCATTTATATTATATAATCCTGATATAATAAATGTACTCCAGGTATTATTATTAATGGTGCAAGTATTGGACATCAACTCTATGTGAGGCACTGTGATGGATACTGGGAATCCAAACATGAAGAGAACGTAGTCCTCACCTTAAGGAGCTTACTGTCTGGGGAGCAGAGGGGTGGGGAGGTGGGCATAACACTGAATGATACTTGTTATGATAGGGCTAAGTATGGCGTGCTAATTAAGCTTGAAGAGAGAGTTAATCTAGTTTTCAAGAATTGGTAGGTGTGGTGGGCAGGAGACATCTAGGGCTGCATGGAGCTTAGATGGGCAAAGAAAAGGTTAGTGGGAGACCTGAAACTTCGCCTAATCTTTGCAAATGATCTCATTTCTGAAAGATTAATATTGAAGATTTTATATTTCTGTCTGTTAATAACATTTCTAATATCGTACTCATTTTTAGGTGGTAAACAAACATAGGGGTCTCATTTTGTCAGACTTTTTAACCTTGAGATGTGATAAGTGATGAAGTAATAAATATTTTCCAAAGAAGATGTGGATACCTGCCTGATGGCTGAAGTAGAAAATGATGACCAGACATCTAGATAAGCAAATGCTGTTTTCTTGACAAAGTATTATCAAAGAGTGATGATTTGCTTTAATAAGAAAGGAATAGATGTGAGTGCAGTGGAAGCAGAAGCCAAAAGGAGCAACACACGGGCGAGAAAGTATTAGCCTTAGATAAAGCAGTTTAAAACCACTGAAAAGTATGTCCTTTAACAAAAGAAGTCTCTAACTTATGAGAAGAAGATGGCTATGATGCTAAAGTTATTTTAGCCAAATGAATAAATAATATTTCCACTTATCAACTTCCAGGAACTGCACTGAACACTTTATGTATACACAAATTAGCTCATTTAATCCTTTAAATTTTTTAATTTTTAATTTTTGTGGGTACACAGTAGGTATATATATGTATGAGTTACATGAGATATTTTCATATAGGCATGCAATGCATAATAATCACATTAGGATAAATGGGGTATCCATCATGTCAAGCATTTATCCTTTGTGTTACGAACAATCCAATTATACTTTCAGTTATTTTAAAATGTACAATTAAATTATTTTTGACAATAGCCACCTTGTTGTGCTAGCAAATACTCCGTCTTATTCATTCTTTCTATTTTTTGTACTCATTAGCCATCCCCACCTCTCCCCAAAAACCCCCACTACCCTTCCCAGCCTCTGGTAACATAACCATCCTTCTACTTTCTATTTCTATGAGTTCAATTATTTTAGTTTTTAGCTCCCACAAATAAGTGAGAACATGTGAAGTTTGTCTTTGTGCACCTGGCTTATTTCATTTCACATAATGACCTCCAATTCCAATCATGCTGTTGCAAATGATAGGATCTCATTCTTCTTTTGGCTGAATAGTACTCCATTGTGTATATATACTACATTTTCTTTATCCATTCATCTGTTGATGGACACATAGGTTGCTTCCAAATCTTGGCTATTGTGAATGGTGCTGCAATAAACATGAGAGTGCAGATATCTGATACAGATTTCCATTCTTTTGGGTATCTACCTAGGAGTGAGATTGCTGGATCATATGGTAGCTCCATTTTTAGTTTTGTGAGGAACCTCCAAACTGTTCTCTCTTTACATTCCCAATTTACATTTCCAGTGTACAACAGTGTACAAAGGTTCCCTTTTCTCCATATCATCACCAGCATTCATTGCCTGACTTTTGGATAAAAGCCATTCTAACTGGGGTGAGACAGTATCTCACTGTAGTTTTGTTTGCATTTCTCTGATGATCAGTGATGTTGAGCACCTTTTCATATGCCTGTTTGCCACTTATATGACTTCTTCTGAGAAATGTCTGTTCAGATCTTTTGTCCATTATTAAATCAGACTATTAGATTTTTTTCCTATAGAGCTGTTTGAGCTCCTTGTATATTCTGGTTATTGATCCCTGTCAGATAGGTAGTTTGTAAATATTTTCTCCCATTCCATGGGTTGTCTCTTCACTTTGTTGATTGTTTTCTTGGTTGTACAGAAGCTTTTCAACTTGATGTGGTCCTATTTGTCCATTTTTGCTTTTGTTTCCTGTGCTTGTGTTACTCAAGAAATTTTTGCCCACTCCAATGTCCTGCAGAGTTTTGCCAATGTTTTCTTGTAGTAGTTTCATAGTTTGAGGTCTTAGATATCTGAGTCTTTGATCCATTTTGATTTGATTTTTGTATATTGCAAGAGATAGGGGTCTAGTTTCCATCTTTTATATATGGATATCCAAGCTCATTTAATCCTTATCACAATCATATAAGGCATATACTTTTATTTTTTCTGTTCTAGAGTTGTGGAAACTGGGATGAGAAATTATGTAAATTTACCTTATCTTTCTTTCTCTGGTAATTAATATATCCTTTTTCTACTTTTATTTCTCCTTAGTATTTATTACTATCTAACATAGTCTATTTTTTACAATTTATCTTATTATTGTCTGTCTCCTCTGACAAGAATGTAAGCTCTGTGAGCACATGGGATATAGCAGTCATCATAACACACAAAAATCCCTGCTAATTTTTGTTTTGGGCTCACTAGCTCCTTGAAGGTTGGCTTTGTGTCACTTTTTCCCCCATAGCACAAAGTACAGGCCTTGCACATACTGGAACCAAAAATATTTGATGAGTGAATGATGAACACTATTAATCAGTAGGCATATACCAAGCCCTCAGCACTGAGCTAGTCGCCATAAGATAAGGAAGTACAAAATACAGTCTCTGATTTAAAATAACACTTAGGACTTCAGGTCTAAAACACCAAAAGCAATGGCAACAAAAGCCAAAATTGACAAATGGGATCTAAGTAAACTAAAGAGCTTCTGCACAGCAAAGAAACTACCATCAGAGTGAACAGGCAACCTACAGAATAGGAGAAAATTTTTGCAATCTACTCATCTGACAAAGGGCTAATATCCACAATCTACAATGAACTCAAACAAATTTACAAGAAAAAAACAAACAACACTATTAACAAGTGGGCAAAGGATATGAACAGACACTTCTCAAAAGAAGACATTTATGCAGCCAAAAGACACATGAAAAAATACTCATCATCACTGGCCAACAGAGAAATGCAAATCAAAACCACAATGAGATACCATCTCACACCAGTTAGAATGGCGATCATTAAAAAGTCAGGAAACAACAGGTGCTGGAGAGGATGTGGAGAAATAGGAACACTTTTACACTGTTGGTGGGACTGTAAACTAGTTCAACCATTGTGGAAGTCGGTGTGGCGATTCCTCAGGGATCTAGAACTAGAAATACCATTTGACCCAGCAATCCCATTACTGGGTATATACCCAAAGGATTATAAGTCATGCTGCTATAAAGACACATGCACATGTATGTTTACTGTGGCACTATTCACAATAGCAAAGACTTGGAACAAACCCAAATGTCCAACAATGATAGACTGGATTAAGAAAATGTGGCACATATACACCATGGAATACTATGCAGCCATAAAAAATGATGAGTTCATGTCCTTTGTAGGGACATGGATGAAGCTGGAAACCATCATTCTCAGCAAACTATCGCAAGGACAAAAAACCAAACACCGCATGTTCTCACTCATAGGTGGGAATTGAACAATGAGAACGCATGGACACAGTAAGGGGAACATCACACACTGGGGCCTGTGGTGGTGTCGGGGGTAGGGGGAGGGACAGCATTAGGAGATATACCTAATGTTAAATGACGAGTTAATGGGTGCAGCACACCAACATGGCACATGTATACATATGTAACAAACCTGCACATTGTGCACATGTACCCTAGAACTTAAAGTATAATAAATAAAAAAAAATTAAAATAACACTTAGGAATAGAGCTAGGGATGAAGCAGGAAATAGAAAGAGGCATGACCAATACCAAGGGCATAAAAGAAGAAGTCCTCACATGTCATTAATTCCATTCTCAATCATCTAACAATGTCTAAAAATGCCTACTCACAGCTCCTTCCAAGATACCATTGTATTCTGTTGCACTAAACTTTCTTGGAAATGCCTTAACAATGTGTTTACAACTCTAAGCCTTCGCATATGTTGCTCTCTGGGCATAGAAAAAAAACTTCTCCCCATTTTCTTTAAAGTAACCTTTTGTTATCCTGCCTAGAGTTACCTGTTTATTCCTCTTTCATCCTACATGTGTTACATGTATGTTACGGCACTTGCCAAACTCCGTTTTAATATACACACATCCCTTATCTTATTTATCTTTGTGTTCCTGGTTTCCAAACAAATTGTCAGGTACATAGTATGCAAACAATGTGCTTTAAGTTTAATTACTCATTTTTCTCTCCTTTCAAAATACTAAAAAACTTGCTTTTTTTACTCTCCTAAAATATAACCATAGATAGAAAAGTTCTTCTTAATAATATATTAAAATCACCCAGTGGTAAATACACACACAGATGCTAACTGCAGGCATGTATTCAATCAAAACTGAGTGGAGGCCGAATAGAATCTACTTTTCTTATTTTATTTTCAGCACAATTCCACATTCAGGGGATATCACCAGTGCCTAGAAAAGTGCCTGGCACACAGAAAATGACTTGTTGAACCAGATGTATTACAGGAACACAGAGATGAAGTAACAAATCAGAAAAACAGTGAACTAAGGATTAGAAAGTTTGGTATCTGCAATTTTCTAGTTTTATAACTTTGAGCAAGACACATTTAAACTGATCTTTAATTTCTTAATTTGTAAAAATAATAGATTAGACTAGTTTTCAAATTATTTTATCAGTAGTCTCCATTGTTGAATGAAATGTAAATGGAACTGCCATTAAATAAAACAGAAAAGATTCATTAGTAAAAATTCGTAAGATCAAATTATGATACTACTTATTTAAATTCATTATTAAGAATAGGCGCCAGGTGCGGTGGCTCACTCCTGTAATCTTAGCACTTTGGGAGGCCAAGGTGGGAGGACTGCTTGAGGCTAGGAGCTTGAGACCAGCCTGGCAACATAGCAGAACCTGTTTCTACAAAAAATTTTTACAAATTAATTGGGCATGGTGGTGCATGCCTGTAGTCCCAGCTACCTGGGAGACTGAGGCAGAAGGAATGCTTGAGCTCAGGAGTTTGAGGTTGCAATAAACTATGATCATACCACTGCACTTCAGTTGGGCGACAGGGCTAAACTGCATCTCTAAAAAAAAAAAAAAAAAAAGAGAGAGAATGAACATAGGTGACAATTGCAATTTTAAATTATCCTCATCAACAATGTCATTTCTGTATTTTGTTTGGCTTTACAATATTGATACAATTCTGGTTACCACAAATACACTATTACAAATGGTAACAGTTTTTAAAAAAATAATTTGGCAATATTAAGATTTCTGCAATTAAAATGGTCCAGCAGCTTGAATGAGGAGTATAGAATATCTTGTTTTCAAAACTGAGGGACTATAATCATTATTCATATTTCTGGTCACGAATATAAAAAATGGACCAGAACCACCCAAAACTTAAATTAAGCAAGAAAACTTTCTTTAATATAGTATTATCATATTAACTTATCATTGCAAACTACTTTAAAGTGCTAAAGTACACATGGCAGAAAGATGTCCCTACATCTGTTTATACTTAATGTGGCATACTAGTCCCAATCATAACCCCAAAAGATACAATCCTCAACACCCTAATCCTGAATGCTGAAATCCCAGAAAATCAAAATCCTTAAAGTCTAAAATCTTGAAAATCAGAATCCCAAAAACTTAAAATTTCAAATGCTGAAATCCTGAAAGTCAACTTCTGAGGAAGGGATTAGTGATTTTCACTTGTACGTCAGATAGTTGGATCATGTTAGGTGGAACTATTACTTTGTTCTTGTCTTTATTTGGAAATTAAGTGTGGTTTAAGGGGATGTGTTTGGGTGCCAGGTTGATAAGAGGTGGACTGGTGGGCTTAAGTTTAGGTGTTAACTTGACTAGGTTAAGTAATACCTAGTAAAACATTATTTTTAGTGTATCTGTGATGGTGTTTCCAGGAGTGTGAGTCTGAGTGAACTAGGTGGGAAAGATCTTCTCTCAGCGTTGGCAGGCACCATCCAATCTGCTGGGGACCTAGAGAGAAGTAATACAAAAGGCAAACAGGTCTCTTCGAGAACTTGGACACACATTTCTTTTGCTGCTTTGGACATCAGAACTACATGTTGGTGGGCTTTGGACTCCAGGACTTACACCAGTGGCATCCCAGGATCTCCAGCTTGCAGATGGCCTGCAATGAGACTTTTCACCCATCATAATAGCATTAGCCAAGTCCCCTAATAAATCTCCTCTCATATATCTATATACATATTCTCTTGGTTCTCTCTCTCTGGAAAACTCTGTCTAATATAGATTTGGTATCAAGAAGCCAAATATCCTTCCTTCTTACTGTATTCCTCACAACACTGTGGAAGAGATCTGTGAAATTGTTCTGTTGCAAAAGGGCTATGATCAGGTAAGTGTACAAGGCTACTTAATAATGACAGATACAAAGTATAAAGCTAATTATTATTGGTGTGTGAAAGCAGAAAATTGCTTAATTGAAATGTCTGAGCAGTAACCAGAGTTTCAAGTGACAGCATTTACTTACAAAATGTGTAGACCACTACGACTCTCCAAATACAAGTGCAGTGAGTATTTTGAAGATCACAGAAGTGAAAAGGCAGATGAAAAATACAAAAAATCTCCCCTGCCAAATTCTCAGTTGTGTATGACTTCCGTAGCTTCACATATAGCATCAATATGATACACTATGTATTTCGTCTTTGCATCATTTCCAATACTGGATGTACAAAATATGTAAGACTTTTAGAGAGTTCTAATTCATTTTATGCATTTATTGCAAATTTGACTCCACGAAAGTACATTATCACAAGTTGACTTTGTGTGAAAACATTGTGGGTGTACATAAAATGTTGAAACTTCCTCAGTAAATAAAGACAGGTCCTTTTTGTATATCTGCATTTCTAAAAGATAAAAACCAAAATTCTCATGATCTTGATTCTTTGGGCATATGTGGTGGTGACCTATTAAGGCTTTTGATTAATCTCATCAAAAGACTTAGGTTGTCTGTCATGGTATTTCAGATGATTGCAGTCATAAAGCTGGGTGCAAACAATTACCAACCATAGTAATATGTGTTTATATATTTCACTTTTTGGCCTATTTCTTCATGAATATGGTTCATCTGCTCATAACTGTTTCACCTATGTGACTGTCTTTAGTATGCCTGTTTCTGCTTGCAAAGATATGTATGTTATTATTTCCTATTTCATTGTGTAAAGTGGCCTGTGAAGTGTTGTGACATATTTTTTGTTTATCAAATAGATCCTCTTTTCAAAGTGTAAATAAAAGTCTTTAAAGAATTTTTAAAATTATTTTTTCCAGAATAATATTTTTGAGATTTTGATCTTTTGAGATAGTAACTTTCAAGATTTTAGACATTAGGGAATTTGATGTTTCAGAATTTCAGTATTTGGGATTATGGCTTCAGGATTGTGGCTTTTGGGATTATGACCCAAATCCAAGGCATACATATGCTGCAGCAGTGGTCTTGCTTGTATAATTTGATTTGGGTATGTAATATTGCACCCAAGATTTAAAAAGGCCAGCTATAAACTTAAAAATAAAAACATATGGGCTGGGCGTGGTGGCTCATGCCTGTAATCCCAGCACTTTGGGAGGCTGAGGCGGGTGGATAATGAGGTCAGGAGATCGAGACCATCCTGGCTAATATGGTGAAACCCCATCTCTACTAAAAATACAAAAAATTAGCCAGGCGCGGTGCACGTGCCTGTAGTCCCAGCTACTTGGGAGGCTGAGGCAGGAGAATCGCTTGAGCCAGGGAGGTGGAGGTTGCAGTGAGCCGAGATCGTGCCACTGCACTCCAAACTGGGTGACAGAGTGAAAATATAAAAAATAAAAATAAAAAATAAATAAAAACATATATTCATAGGAAGTTCAAATACCAACATAAAAATTAGTAGGGAAGCTTTAATCAGTAGTCCATAAAAATATAAACTAGTGGCATAGTTTCATTTTATTTTGTGATCCCTAATGTGTTACACTTTGGTACAACACATCTGAGTGTGCATGTTGTTTTTATTACAGTCTTAAAATATTTAATATATTTAAAATATTTAAATGTTGTAGCCAACATTTGGAAAACCTTGAAGAACCTCCTGTGAACTGGATACTCTTTCTGGTCCTTTCAATTCCATCATTTCTACATAATCTAGAAAAGCAAGGGCCAAGCGTGGTGGCTCACGCCTGTAATCTCAGCACTTTGGGAGGCTGAGGCAGGCAGATCACCTGAGGTCGGGAGTTCGAGACCAGCCTAACCAACATGGAGAAACCCCGTCTCTACTAAAAATACAAAATTAGCCTGGCGTGGTGGTGCATGCCTGTAGTCCCAGCTACTTGCGAGGCTGAGGCAAGAAAATCACTTGAACCCAGGAGGCGGAGGTTGCAGTGAACCAAGATCACATCGCTGCATTCCAGCCTGGGCAACAGAGCAAGACTATGTCAAAAAACAAAACCAAACAAAACAAAACAAAACAACAGCAACAAAAAAACCAAGAAAGAATTTATAAAGATGTTTTTTATTTCTTCAAATAAATCTTGTACACTTTTACTGAGATTAGACACTCATGGGAGAAGAAAGAGCCTGATCAGACAGGAGTGGAGAACTTGTATTAGGGAGTATCAAGAAATATTACATTTAAGAAAACATGTCAATCTTCCTAGAACAGGCAGAATTCCTACACAGATAAGCTAAAAACAGCTTGGTATCATAAATCCATGACACCCTATAAACAGAAACATTGCTGGTCTATAGGTATCTTAACTTACAAATGCAATTTCATTCCTATGTAGCTATTTTCTGATAACATCTGTCAGATGTAGAATAACTTTTCACTGAATTTGCCTTCGTTTACTTGAAGAACATATTCTGATTTGAACTACAGAGGACACTCTCTTAACTGACTTCTGTTTAAACAAATCACTGAATTAATCAAAATTGCATTTCCTTTTGGACACAGACAGAATGGAAAGAGACAGGAAGAAAGCAAGCAACCTTGAAAACATATTTGAGGATATTGTCTATGAAAACTTTCCCAATCTCACTAGAGAGGCCAACATTCAAATTCAATAAATGCAGAGACCCCCTGCAAGATATTACACAAGAAGACCATTCCTAAGACATAATCATCAGATTTTTCAAGGTTGAAATGAGAGAAAAAAATGTTAAAGGCAGCTAGAGGTAAGGGGCAGGTCACCTACAAGGGAAATCTCTTCAGGCTAATAGCAGACCTTTCAGCAGAAACCCTACAAACCAGAAGACATTGGGGCCCTATATTCAGCATTCTTAAAGAAAAAAATGTCCATCTAAGCATTTCATATCCAGGCAAACTAAGCTTCACAAGTGAAGGAGAAATAAGATCCTTTTTAGACAAGCAAATGCTAAGAGAATTCATTACTACCAGACCTGCCTTATAAGAGGTCCCTCAATATGGTAAGGAAAGACTGTTACCAGCCATTCCAAAAACAGTACACAGATGAGTGACACTATAAAGCAACCACACAAACAAATCTGCATAACCAGCTAACAACACAATGACATTATTGATATGTACAGATTTGATCCTAACTATGAATGTAAGTGGACGAAATGCCCCAATTAAAAGGCACAGAATGGCAAGCTAGATAAAGAAGCAAGACTCAAATGTATGCTGTCTTCAAGTGATCCATCTCACATGCAGTGATACCCATGGGCTCAAAGTAAAGGGATGGAGAAAAATCTACCAAGAAAATAAATAGAAAACAGAAAAAAGCAGAGGTTGCTACTCCAATTTCAGACAAAACAGATTTTAAACCAATAATGATCAAGAAAGACAATGAAGACCACATGTTATGCTTACCATTATGTAAATGACAAAGGGTTCAATTCCACAAGAAGACCTAACTCTCTAAATATATATGCACCCAACATTCATAAAACAAGCACCCAGATTCATAAAACAAGTTCTTAGAGACCTATGAAGAGGTGTAGATTCCCACACAACAACTCACTGACAGTATTAGACAGATCATCAAGGCAAAAAACTAAAAATGATATTCAGAACTTGAACTGGACTCTTGACCAAACGGACATAACAGACATCTACAGAACTCTCTACCCCAAAACACCGAATATACATTTTTCTCATCGCCACATGACACATACTCTAAAATGGATCACACATTTGGACATAAAACAATCCTTCGCAAATGCAAAGAACCAAAATCAACCAACCCCACTCCTGGACCACAGCACAATAAAAACAGAAATCAACAGTAAGATAATCACTCAAAACCATACAAGTACATGGAAATTAAACAACCTGCTCCTGAAAGACTTTCAGGTAAATAACGAAATAATCAAAAAGTGGGAAAACTCTCAAATTAACAACCTGACATTACAACTAAAAGTACTAGAAAAGCAACACAAAAGTAACCCCAAAGCTAGCAAAAGACAAGAAATAACAAAAATCAGAGCTGAACTGAAGGAAATTGAGCCAGGAAAACCCATACAAAATACGAACGAATCCAGAATTTGTTTCTTTGAAAAAATTAATAGGATAGGTAGAACAGTTGCTAGACAAAAAAAGAAAAAAGAAGATCCAAATGAACACAATTAGAAATGACAAAGGGTATGTTACTACCGACACCACAGAAATACAAAAGAACCATCAGCCACCACTGTGACCACAAACTGGAAAATCTAGAATAAATGTATAAACTCTGGAAATATACAACCTCCCAAGACTGAACCAGGGTGAAACTGAATCCCTGAACAGACCAATAATGAGTTCTGAAATTGAATCAGTAATAAAAAGCCTACCAACCAGAAAAAACCCAGGACCAGATGGATTCACAGCTGAATTCTACCAGGTGTATAAAGAAGACCTGGTACCATTTCTACTGAAACTATTAAAAAAAAAAAGAAAAATGAAAACAAACAAACAACAACAACAACAAAAACGGGGAGGAGGGACTCCTCCCTAACTCATCCTATGAAGCCAGCATCCCCTGACAACAAAAGCTGGCAGACACACAACAAAAAAAGAAAACTTCAGGCCAATCTCCTTGATGAACATCAATGCAAAAACCCTCAACAAAATACTAGCAAACTGAATCCAGAAGCACAACAAAAAGCTAATCCACCACGATCAAGAAAGCTCCATCCCTGGGATGCAAGGTTGGTTCCACATATGCAAGTCAATAAATGTGAGTCATCACATAAACAGAACTAAATACAAAAATTACATGATCATCTCAATAGATGCAGAAAAGGCTTTTAATAAAATTCAACTTCTCTCCATATTAAAAACTGCCAATAAACTAGGCATTGAAGGAACATACTTCAAAGTAATAAGAGCCATCCATGACAAACCCACAGCCAATATCATACTGAATTGGCAAATGCTGAGAGAATCCCCTTGAAAACCAGCACAAGACAAGGATGCCCTCTCTCACCACTCCTATTCAACATAGTACTGGAAGTCCTGGCCAGGGCAATCAGTAAAGAGAAAGAGATAAAAGGCATCCAAATAGAGAGGAAGTCAAACTACCCCTGTTTGCAGATGACATGATTTTATATCTAGAAAACCCCATAGTCTCTTCCTTTAATCTGATAAAAAATTAAGCAAAGTTTCAGAATACAAAATCGAAGAACAAAAATCAGTAGCATTCCCATACACCAACAACATCAAAGCTGAGGTCAAATCAGGAACACAATCCCATTCACAATTGCCACAAAAAGAATAAAATACCTAAGAATATAGCTAACCAGGGATGTGAAAGATCTCTACAACAAGAATTACAAAACTCTGCTCAAAAAAATCAGAGACAATACAGACAAATTTAAAAAATTCCATATTCATGGACAGGAAGACTCAGTATCATTAAAATGGCCATACTACTGAAAACAATTTACAGATTTAATGCTATTCCTATGAAACTACCAATGACATTCTTCACAGAATTAGAAAAACTATTTTAAAATTCATATGAAACCAAAACAGCACCCAAATAGCCAAAGCACTCCTAAGGAAAAAGAACAAAGGTGAAAGCATCACATTATCCAACTTCAAACTATACTACGAGGCTACAGTAACCAAAAGAGCATTGTACTGGTACCAAGACAGACACATAGACCAATGGAATAGAATAGAGGGCCCAGAAATAAAGCTGCACGCCTACAACCATCTGATCTCCAACAAAGTTGACAACAACGAGAAATGGGGAAAGAATTCCCCATTCAATAAATGTTGACGGGATAATTGTCTAGCCATATGCAGAAGATTGAAACTGGACCCCTACCTTATACCACACACAAAAATCAACTCAAGATGGATGAAAGACTTAATGTAAAACCTAAAACTATAAAATCCCTGAAAGATAACCTAGGAAATACTATTCTGGATATAGGACTTGGCAAAGATTTCATGATGAACACAGCAGAAGCCACTGCAACAAAAAACCAAAATTGACAAATGGGATCTAATTAAACTAACGAGCTTCTGCACAGCAAAAGTAACTACCTACAGAGCAAAGAGACAATCTACAGAATGGGAGAAAGTATTTGCAAACTATGCATCTGACAAGGGTCTAATATCCAGAATCTATAAGAAATTTAAACAGATGAACAAGAAACAACCCCATTAAAAAGTGGGCAAAGGACATTAAGAGACATTTTGCAGAAGAAGACATATATGCAGCCAACAAGCACATGAAAAAATGCTTAACATCACTAATCATCAGAGAAATGCAAATCAAAACCACAGGAAGATACCATCTGACACCAATCAGAATGGCTACTATTAAAAAGTAAAAAAAGAACAGATGCTGGTGAGGTTCTGGAGAAAAGTGAGTGCTAACGGGAGTATAAATTGGTTCAGCCATTGTGGAAAGCAGTTTGGTGATTTCTCAAAGAGCTTAAAAAAGAATTACCATTCCACCCAGCAATTCCATTTTGGGGTATACAACCAAAGAAATATAAATCATTCTATCATAAAGACACATGCACGTGTATGTCCACTGCAGCGCTATTCAAAACAGGACAGACATGGAATCAACCTAAATGTCCATCAATGGTGCACTGGATAAAGAAAATGTGGCACATATACACCATAGAATACTATGAAGCCATAGAAAAGAATAAGATCATGTCCTTTGAAGAAACATGGATGGAGCTGCAGGCCATTATCCTAAACAAATACAGAAAGAGTAAACCAAATGCTACATGTTCTCACTTATAAGTGCAAGCTAAACAATGAGAACACGTGGATAACAGAAGAACAACAGACACTGGGGCCTACTTGAGAGTGGAGGTGGGGGGAGAGAGAGGATCAGAAAAAATACCTATCAGGTAGTATGCTTATTACCTGGGTGATGAAACTGTCTGTACACCAAACCCCTGTGACATGCAGTTTACCTGTATAACAAACCTGCACGTGTACACCAAACCTAAAACAAATGTTAAAGGCCAGACAGAATGCTTACCTCTGCTCTTGCTGGTTGTATGATTTCCAATATGAGTTGTGTTGTTTCCAAAGTGGTATGAGACAGTAATATTTATTGGTCTAATTTGGAAATTTAATAAAATATTTTGTAAACTGATGAAATACAAGTATAAAAAGTGAATGTTTCTATGAAAAATAAGTTGAAAGAAAAGTTTTAACACCAGCCTTTTAAAAAATAAGGTTGAATGAAATGAGAGAGAGGAGAATTTTAGGGAAAGGAATCCTAAAAATCTGGAATAATTCTGTACTCAGATCACCTTGCAAGTGGCTTTGAGTTCTTGTTCCTCTCCAAAGTAGGGGGAAGAAAGGAAAGTGTTTTATGTTACATTATGTGTAAAGACAGACTGTACTCCAATCAGTAAACTCATAAAAAGCCAGTATAAATTTATTCTAGGTAAAACAAAATGTTTAATTATAAGTAATTTTAGATAATTCTCTGTTTAAACAAATCTTTTCAATTAACCAACTATTGGTTCAGATTGTGTTGGGTAAGAGGACTTTTCTTGCTGTTACAAAAGTAATACTTAATTGTTTGTGAGTGAGAATATGAATTTCATGTTGAAATGATGAAGTTGTTTAGAGTTTAAGGTTGATTTTTCATTTTATTCTCTTATTGTTTTAAAAAACATATTGATAAAGAACATGGTATGTAATATTAAGTGGAAATATCTATTAGATATAAAATCTCTGAAAATAAATATACCTAACAATAGCCTAAAAATAATTGACATTTGTAAATGATAGAATTACAATGAGAAGTTGATTAATAGACAGTCTGCAAACATTTCTCAAAAATGGATAAATAAAATAGGCAAGAAATTAATGAAGATATACAAGATCTAAACTATAATAAACCAGTGTGCTCAATCTATTGGAAACACACAGGGAATGACATAAATTTATAGGAATTATAGATACACATTTTTTAAAAAAACAACATATGAAATTGAAAAAATTAGCACAGTATGTTGGTTAAGAGCATAATTTCTGGATCCAGACTGCTAGGATTACATCTTAGTCTGCTACTTGCTGTGAGACTTAGTGACAGTTACTTCCCCTTCCCTTAGTTCCCTTATCTGCCAAATGAAGATAATAGATTGTTCAGAAAATGCAATAAATGAAGATTTGCAAAGGGCTTAGTGCCTGGCACTAAGTAAGCACTAAATAGTAAGCACTAAATTCATTAATTGTAAATAAATAGTTGGCCGCAAGGGAAATCTCAGTGATTCCAAACAACTGAATTCACACAGAATGTATGCTCTGGTCAAATTCTCATAAAAATAAAATGCCATAAGAAAATGTTATTGCCAAAAACCAATATGTTTGCAAATTTTAAAAATAGTCATCAATATACAGGCAGTATTTTTTAAGTTCTGGGGTACATGTGCAGAATGTGCAGATTTGTTGCATAGGTATACATGTGCCATGGTGGTTTGCTGCACCCATCAACCCATCATCTCCATTAGGTATTTCTCTTAATGCTATCCTCCGCCAGCCCCCCACCCCATGACAGGCCCCAGTGTGTGATGTTCCCTTCCCTCTGACCATGTGTTTTCATTGTTTAACTCCCACTTATGAGTGAGAACATATGGTGTTTGGTTTTCTGTTCTTGTGTTAGTTTGCTGAGAATGATGGTTTCCAGCTTCATCTATGTCCCTGCAAAGGACATGAACTCATCTTTTTTCATGGCTGCATAGCATTCCATGGTGTATATGTGCCAAATTTTCCTTATTCAGTCTATCATTGATGAGCATTTGGGTTGGTTCCAAGTCTTTGCTATTGTGACCGGTATCACAATAAACATATGTGTGCATGTGTCTTTATAGGAGAATGATTTATAATCCTTTAGGTATATATCCAGTAATGGGATTGCTGGGTGAAATGGTATTTCTAGTTCTGGATCCTTGAGGAATTGCCACACTCTCTTCCACAATGATTGAACTAATTTACACTCCACCAACAGTATAAAAGTGTTCCTATTTCTCCACATCCTCCCCAGCATCTGTTGTTTCCTGACTTGTTAATGAACACCATTCTAACTGGTGTGAGATGGTATCTCATTGTGGTTTTGATCTGCATTTCTCTAATGACCAGTGATGATGAGCTTTTTTTTCATATGTTTGTTGGCTGCATAAATGTCTTCTTTTGAGAAGTGTCTCTTCATATTTTTCTCCCACTTTTTGATGGGATTGTCTCTTTTTTTCTTGTAAATTTGTTTAACTTCTTTGTAGATGCTGGATATTAGCCCTTTGTGAGATCAATAGATTGCAAAAATTTTCTCCCATGCTGTAGGTGGCCTGTTCACTCTGATGAGAGTTTCTTTTGCTGTGCAGAAGCTTTTTAGTTTAATTGGATCCCATTTGTCAATTTTTGCTTTTGTTGCCATTGCTTTTGGTGTTTTGGTCATGAAGGCTTTGCCCATGCCTATGTCTTGAATGGTAGTGCCCAGGTTTTCTTCTAGCGTTTTTATGGTTTTAGGTTTTACATTTAAGTCTTTAATCCATCTTGAGTTCATTTTTGCATAAGGTATAAGGAAGGGGTCCAGTTTCTGTTTTCTGCCTATGGCTAGCTAGTTTTCCCAACACCATTTATTAAATAAGGAATCCTTTCACCATTGCTTGTTTTTGTCAGGTTTGTCAAAGATCAGATGGTTGTAGATGTGTGGTGTGATTTCTGAGGCCTCTGTTCTGTTCCATTGGTCTATATATCTATTTTGGTACCAGTACCATGCTGTTTTGGTTACTGTAGCCTTGTAGTATAGTTTGAAGTCAGGTAGTGTGATGCCTCCAGCTTTGTTCTTTTTCCTTAGGATTGTCTTGGCTATAAGGGCTCTTTTTTGGTTCCATATGAAATTTAAGGTAGTTTTTCTAGTTCTTTGAAGAAACTCAATGGTAGCTTGATGGGGATAACATTGAATCTATAAATTACTTTGGGCAGTATGGCCATTTTCACGATACTGATTCTTCCTATCTATGAGCATGGAACGTTTTTCCATTTATTTGTGTCCTCTCTTATTTCCTTGAGCAGTGGTTTGTAGTTCTCCTTGAAGAGGTCCTTCACATCCCTTGTAAGTTGTATTCCTAGGTATTTTATTCTCTTTGAAGCAATTGTGAATGGGAGTTCACTCATGATTTGGCTCTCTGTTTGTCTGTTATTAGTGTATAAGAATGCTTGTGATTTTTGCACATTGATTTTGTATCCGGAGACTTTGCTGAAGTTCCTTATCTGCTTAAGGAGATTTTGGGCAGAGATGATGGGCTTTTCTAAATACACAATCATGTCATCTGCAAACACAGACAATATGACTTCCTCTCTTCCTATTCAAATACCCTTTATTTCTTTCTCTTGTCTAATTGCCTTGGCCAACACTTCCAATACTATGTTGAATAGGAATGGTGAGAGAGGGCATCCTTGTCTTGTGCCGGTTTTCAAAGGGAATGCTTCCAGTTTTTGCACATTCAGTATGATATTGGCTGTGAGTTTGTCATACATAGCTCTTTTTTTTTTGTGGACATTTTTGGGTATTTCCTTCTTTTTTCATTTTTTTATTCTTTTTTATTTTTATTATACTTTAAGTTTTAGGGTACATCTGCACAACGTGCAGGTTTGTTACATATGTATACATGTGCCATGTTGGTGTGCTGCACCCATTAACTCTTCATTTAACATTAGGTATATCTCCTAATGCTATCCCTCCCCCCTGCCCCCATCCCACAACAGGCCCCGGTGTGTGATGTTCCCCTTCCTGTGTCCATGTGTTTTCATTGTTCAATTCCCACCTATGAGTGAGAACTTGCAGTGTTTGGTTTTTTGTCCTTGTGATAGTTTGCTGAGAATGATGGTTTCCAGCTTCATCCATGTCCCTACAAAGGACATGAACTCATCATTTTTTATGGCTGCATAGTATTCCATGGTGTATATGGAATCCAGTCTATCATTGTTGGACATTTGGGTTGGTTCCAAGTCTTTGCTATTGTGAATAGTGCCGCAGTAAACATACGTGTGCATGTGTCTTTATAGCAGCTTGATTTATAATCCTTTGGGTATATACCCAGTAATGGGATGGCTGGGTCGAATGGTGTTTCTAGTTCTAGATCCCTGAGGAATCGCCACGCCAACTTCCACAATGGTGGAACTAGTTTACAGTCCCACCAACAGTGTAAAAGTGTTCCTATTTCTCCACATCCTCTCCAGCACCTGTTGTTTCCTGACTTTTTAATGATTGCCATTGTAACTGGTGTGAGATGGTATCTCATTGTGGTTTTGATTTGCATTTCTCTGATGGCCAGTGATGATGAGTATTTTTTCATGTGTTTTTTGGCTGCATAAATGTCTTCTTTTGAGAAGTGCCTGTTCATATCCTTAGCCCACTTTTTGATGGGGTTGTTTGTTTTTTTCTTGTAAATTTGTTTGAGTTCATGGTAGATTCTGGATATTAGCCCTTTGTCAGATGAGTAGATTGCAAAAATTTTCTCCCATTCTGTAGGTTGCCTGTTCACTCTGATGGTGGTTTCTTTTGCTGGGTAGAAGTTCTTTAGTTTAATTAGATCCCATTTGTCAATTCTGGCTTTTGTTGCCATTGCTTTTGGTGTTTTAGACAGGAAGTCCTTGCCCATGTCTATGTCCTGAATGGTATTGCCGAGTTTTCTTCTAGGGTTTTGATGGTTTTAGGTCTAACATGTAAGTCTTTAATCCATCTTGAATTAATTTTTGTATAAGGTGTAAGGAAGGGATCCAGTTTCAGCTTTCTACATATGGCTAGCCAGTTTTCCCAGCACCATTTATTAAATAGGGAATCCTTTCCCCATTTCTTATTTTTGTCAGGTTTGTCAAAGATCAGATAGTTGTAGATATGTGGCATTATTTCTGAGGGCTCTGTTCTGCTCCATTGGTCTATATCTCTGTTTTGGTACCAGTACCATGCTGTTTTGGTTACTGTAGCCTTGTAGTATAGTTTGAAGTCAGGTAGTGTGATGCCTCCAGCTTTGTTCTTTTGGCTTAGGATTGACTTTGCGATGCGGGCTCTTTTTTGGTTCCATATGAACTTTCAAGTAGTTTTTTCCAATTCTGTGAAGAAAGTCATTGGTAGCTTAATGGGGATGGCATTGAATCTATAAATTACCTTGGGCAGTATGGCCATTTTCACAATATTGATTCTTCCTACCCATGAGCACGGAATGTTCTTCCACTTGTTTGTATCCTCTTCTATTTCATTGAGCAGTGGTTTGTAGTTCTCCTTGAAGAGGTCCTTCACATCCCTTGTAAGTTGGATTCCTAGGTATTTTATTCTCTTTGAAGCAATTGTGAATGGGAGTTCCCTCATGATTTGGCTCTCTGTTTGTCTGTTATTGGTGTATAAGAATGCTTGTGATTTTTGCACATTGATTTTGTATCCTGAGACTTTGCTGAAGTTGCTTATCAGCTTAAGGAGATTTTGGGCTGACATACATAGCTCTTATTATTTTGAAATACATTCCATCAATACTTAGTTTATTGACAGTTTTTAGCATGAAGCGATGTTGAATTTTATCAAAGGTCTTTTCTGCATCTATTGAGATAATCACATGGATTTTGTCATTTATTCTGTTTATGTGATGGATTACATTTATTGATTTGCACATGTTGAACCAGCCTTGCATCCCTGCGATGAAGCTGACCTGATCGTGGTGGATAAGCTTTTTGATGTGCTGCTGGATTTGGTTTGCCAGTATTTTACTGAGAATTTTTGCACCGATGTTCATCAGGGATATTGGCCTGAAATTTTCTTTTTTTGTTGTGTCTCTGCCAGGTTTTGGTATCAGGATGATGCTGGCCTCATAAAATGAGTTAGGGAGGATTCCCTCTTTTTCTATTGTTTGGAATAGTTTCAGAAAGAATGGTGTCACCTCCTCTTTGTACCTCTGGTAGAATTTGGCTGTGAACCTGTCTAGTCCTGGACTTTTTTTGGTTGGTAGGCTATTAATTACTGCCTCAATTTCAGAAGTTGTTATTGGTCTATTCAGGGATTCGACTTCTTCCTGGTTTAGACTTGGGAGAGTGTATGTGTCCAGGAATTTATTCATTTCTTCTAGATTTTCTAGTTTATTTGCTTAGAGGTGTTTATAGCATTCTCTGATGGTAGTTTGTATTTCTGAGGGATCAGTGGTGATATTCCCTTTATCATTTTTTTTATTGTGTCTAGTTGATTCTTCTCTCTGTCCTTCTTTATTAGTCTGGCTAGTGGTCTATCTATTTTGTTGATCTTTTCAAAAAACCAGCTCCTGGATTCATTGATTTTTGAAGGGTTTTTCGCGTCTCTATGTCTTTCAGTTCTGCTCTGATGTTAGTTATTTCTTGTCTTCTGCTAGCTTTGAAATTGTTTGCTCTTGCTTCTCTAGTTTTTTAAAAATGCGATGTTAGGGTGTTGATTTTAGATCTTTCCCGCTTTCTCTTGTGGGAATTTAGTGCTCTAAATTTCCCTCTAAACACTGCTTGAAATGTGTCCCAGAGATTCTGTTACATTGTGTCTTTGTTCCCATTGGTTTCAAGGAACATCTTTATTTCTGCCTTAATTTCGTTATTTATCCAGTATTCATTCAGGAGCAGGTTGTTCAGTGTTCATGTAGTTGTGTGGTTTTCAGTGAGTTTCTTAATCCTGAGTTCCAATTTGATTGCACTGTGGTCTGAGAGACTGTTTGTTATGATTTCTGTTCTTTTACATTTGCTGAGGAGTGTTTTACTTCCAATTATGTGGTTAATTTTAGAATAAGTGTGATGTGGTGGTGAGAAGAATGTATATTTTGTTGATTTGGGGTGAAGAGTTCTGTAGATGTCTATAAAGTTGCCTTGGTCCAGAGCTGAGTTCAAGTCCTGAATATCCTTGTTAATTTTCTGTCTCGTTGGTCTGTCTAGTGCTGACAGTGGGGTGTTAAAGTCTCCCACTATTATTGTGTGGGAGTCTAAGTCTCTTTGTAGGTCCTTAAGAACTTGCTTTATGAGTCTGGGTGCTCCCGTATTGGGTGCATATATATTTAGGATAATTAGCTCTTCTTGTTGCATTGATCCCTTTATCATTATGTAATGCCCTTCTTTGTCTCTTTTGATCTTTGTTGGTTTAAAGTCTGTTTTATCAGAGACTAGGATTACGACCTCTGCTGTTTTTTTTTTTTTTTTTTTTTTTTTTTTTTTTTTTTTTTGAGACAGAGTCTTGCTCTGTTGCCCAGGCTGGAGTGCAGTGGCGCAATCTCAGCTCACCGCAAGCTCCGCCTCCTGGGTTCATGCCATTCTCCTGCCTCAGCCTCCTGAGTAGCTGGGGCTACAGGCACCTGCCACCATGCATGGGTAATTTTTTGTATTTTTAGTAGAGATGGGGTTTCACTGTGTTAGCCAGGATGGTCTCGATCTCCTGACCTCGTGATCTGCCTGCCTCAGCCTCCCAAAGTGCTGGGATTACAGGCGTGAGCCACCATGCCTGGCCACAACCCCTGCTTTTTATTGCTTTCCATTTGCTTGGTAAATATTACTTTATCCCTTTATTTTGAACCTATGTGTGTCCTTGAACATGAGCTGGGCCTCCTGAATACAGCATACCCATGGGTCTTGACTCTTCATCCAATTTGCCAGTCTGTGTCTTTTAATTGGGGCACTTAGTCTGTTTACATTTAAGGGTAATATTGTTATGTCTGAATCTGATCCTGTCATTATGATGCTAGCTGGTTATTTTGCCCATTAGTTGATTCAGTTTCTTCATAGTGTCGATGGTCTTTACAATTTGGTATGTTTTTGCAGTGGCTGGTATCGGTTCTTCATTTCTATGTTTAGTGCTTCCTTCAGGAGCTCTTGTAAGGTAGGCCTGGTGGTGATGAAATCTCTTAGCATTTGCTTGTCTGTAAAGTATTTTATTTCTCCTTCACTTATGAAGCTTAGTTCGGCTGGATATGAAATTCTGGGTTGAAAATGCAATCATGTTTTGTTTTCTGGGATAATATAGTTTGGAAATATTTTATTGAAATGTAAAGAATTCATGTGCTTTAAAAACATAATTAAATATTTTAGCCTTTAAAAAAAAAAGAAAATTCTTTTCTTTAAGAATGCTTTATATTGGCCTCCACTCTCTTCTGGATTGTAGGGTTTCTGCTGAGAGATCTGCTGTTAGTCTGATGGGCTTCCCTTTGGTGGGTAACCCGACCCTTCTCTCTCGCTGCCCTTAATATTTTTTCCATCATTTCAACCTTGGTGAATCTGACAATTATGTGTCTTGGGGTTGCTCTTCTCGAGGAGTATCTTTGTGGTGTTCTCTGTATTTCCTGAATTTGAATGTTGGCCTGTCTTGCTAGGTTGGGGAAGTTCTCCTGGATAATATCCTAAAGAGTGTTTTCCAACTTGGTTCCATTCTCCCCGTCACTTTCAGGTATGCTAATCAAGCAGAGATTTGGTCTTTGCACATAGTCCCATGTTTCTTGGAGGCTTTGTTTCTTTTCATTCTTTTTTATCTAATCTTGTCCTCTCACTTTATTTCATTAAATTGATCTTCATTCTCTGATATCCTTTCTTCCACTTGATCATTTTGGCTATTGATACTTGTGTATGCTTCACGAAGTTCTCGTGCTGTGTTTTTCAGCTCCATGAGGTCATTTATGTTCTTCTCTAAAGTGGTTATTCTAGTTAGCCATTTGTCTAACCTTTTTTCAATGTTCTTAGCTTCCTTGAATTGGGTTAGAACACACTCCTTTAGCTCAGAGGGGTTTGTTATTACACACCTTCTGAAGCCAACTCTGTCAATTCGTCAAACTCATTCTCTGTCCAGTTCTGTTCCCTTGCTGGTGAGGAGTTGTGATCCTTTGGAGGAGAAGAGGCATTCTGGTTTTTGGAATTTTCAGCCTTTTTGCGCTGGTTTCTCCCTATCTTCGTGGATTTATCTACCTTTGGTCTTTGTGTTGGTGACCTTCAGATGGGGTCTCTGAATGGATTTCCTTTTTGTTGATGTTGATGCTATTCCTTTCTGTTTGTTAGTTTTCCTTGTAACAGTCAGGCCCTTTTGCTGCAGGTCTGCTAGAGTTTGCTGGAGGTCCACTCCAGACACTGTTTGCCTGGGTATCACCAGCAGAGGCTTCAGAACAGCAAAGATTGCTGCCTGTTCCTTCCTCTGGAAGCTTCTTCCCAGAGGGGCACCTGTCAGATGCCTGCCAGAGCTCTTCTGTATGAGGTGTCTGTCAGCCCCTACTGAAAGGTGTCTCCCAGTCAGGATACATGGGGGTCAGGGACCCACTTGAGGAGGCAGTCTGACCCTTATCAGAGCTCGAATGCTGTGCTGGGAGATACACTGCTGTCTTCAGAGCTGTCAGGCAGGGACATTTAAGTCTGCTGAAGCTGCACCCACAACTGCCCCTTCCCCCAGGTGCTGTGTCCCAGGGTGATGGGATTTTTATCTGTAAGCTCCTGACTGGGGCTACTGCCTTTCTTTCAGAGATGCCCTGCCCAGAGAGGAGGAATCTAGAGAGGCAGTCTGGCCGCAGCAGCCTTGCTGAGCTGTGGTGGGCTCTGCCCAGTTCGAACTTCCTGGCAGCTTTGTTTACACTGTGAGGGTAAAACTGCCTACTCAAGCCTCAGCAATGGTGGATGCCCCTCTCTCCACCAAGCTCGAGTGTCCCAGGTGGACCTCAGACTGCTGTGCTGGTAGCAAGAATTTCAAGCCAGTGGATCTTAGCTTGCTGGGCTCCCTGGGGGTGGGATCCGCCGAGCCAGACCACTTGGCTCCCTGGCTTCAACCCCCTTTCCAAGGGAGTGAATGTGTTCTGTCTCACTGGCATTTCCAGGTGCCACTGGGTATGAAAAAAAAAAAAACTTCTGCAGCTAGCTTCGTGTCTGCCCAAACAGCCACCCAATTTTGTGCTTGAAACCCAGAACCCTGTTGGCGTAGGCACTGAGAGAATCTCCTGGTCTGCGGGTTGCAAAGACCATGGGAAAAGCGCAATATCTGGGCCAGAAGTCACTGTTCCTCATGGCACAGCCCCTCATGGCTTCCCTTGGCTAGGGGAGGGAAATACCCTGACCGCTTGTGCTTCCCAGGTGAGGCGATGCCCCACCCTGCTTTGGCTTTCCCTCCATGGGCTGCACCCACTGTCCAACTAGTCCCAGTGAGATGAACCAGGTAGCTCAGTTGGAAATGCAGAAATCACGTGCCTTATGCGTCAATCTTGCTGGGAGCTGCAGACCGGAGCTGTTCCTGTTCAGCCATCTTGAGATTAGACCTCTCACAGGCAGTATTAAACGGCAATTTGAGGATAGTGATCACAAATTTGTGACAGAATTCAAAGTGTGACTTAATCTAGCAGAGCACCACTTTTCATGGGTGTAGTGGCTCATGCCTGTAATCCCAGCATTTTGGGAGGCCAAGACAGGTGGATCACTTGAGCCCAGGAATTCAAGACCAGCCTCGGCAAAATGGCAAAACCCTGTCACTACCAAAAATACAAAAACGTTAGCTGGGTGTGGTGGTGTGTGCCTGTGGTCACAGCTACTTGGGAGGCTGAGGTGGGGGATCACTTGAGTCTGGGAGGCAGGAGGTTGCAGTGAGCAGAGATAGCACCACCGTACTCCCAGCCTGAGCAACAGAGTGAGACCTTGTCACAAAACAAAACAAAACAAAACAAAACAAAACAAAACAAAACAAAACATGACTTATCAGACAAGAGGGCAATATGGGTAGAGCTGGACCTGGCTTGAGTATAGTGATAGAAAAAGTGAAAACAAAACAGATCATGTGATGTTTGCAATATAGTATCAAACTGTTCTAAAAACATATACACAAATACACAGAGGTGAGGCAGAGAAGAATAATAAAGAGAATGTGGGAAAATGTTAATAACTGCTGAATTAGTGTTGAACTCTGAATTATTGCAACTTCTCTGTCATTGTTAAATTATTTCAAAAATAAAGTTTTTAAAATATAAGAAAAATACAAAAATGAAATAGGAGATGGGTTTTGAAGTTGGGGGACAAAAGACAGAGGGGTAATAAAGTTTGGGATATGCTAACTGTGTTACTGAAAATATGGAACATAGACTCTAAGCCATAATAAAGATTTACATGAAGTTAAAGAAGTTGCAGTATGAGTATAAGGGAGGAAGGAAAGTAATTTTGGACATATGACAAGCAAGATGAAAAGTCTGGCAGGAAAGAGACAAAATGCTGGGGAGACAAGCACAGTCTCATGAAAAGTATAATAAAAAAAGTCATTAAATGCTCATATAAAGGGGAAAAACAATTCAAAACAATTTTGTATCAGGTCAGAAAAGGTTAATGTCATAATGGGATATTTCACTTTTGAATCTCTTCCTTACCTCCCCCAGGCTTACATATGGCTTAGAAATCCACCTTGGATGAATAGAGAAGGACTAAATTTGGGTGAGGAATGGATAGAAAGGAAGAAAAACTTCTGGGGAAGCTGATAGAAATGAGTTCCTCCAGAGATGTTTATCTGGAATTAGACTGATCTTAAATGTTTGGGAAAATAAATAACTCTTATATGGGGTATGATTAATAGAAATAAAGAGATAAAACTGTCAGTAGTTGAAGTCTACAGGATCAGTTACCTAGGAAACCCAAACTGAAAAATTATGAGAACCAATGAGAAAGGTAGGTAGAGGGTGGCTGGATATAATACTAACATATAAAAAGCAAGGTAAATTACCTTACCAAATAGTAAAATATACTTTAAAAGCTATAGTATTGGTGCAGGAATAGGTAAATAGTGTAACAAGAGAGTGGCCACAAACCCACATAATATACAGATTTAGTTATGACACTGGTGGCATTTTAAACTGCTGAAAAAAGGCTGGCTAATTCAATAAATGATATTGGAGCAATTGAATACCCATCTGAAAAAAGTAAGTTATTTTCATAGCTCATAAAATTCACAGAAATGCATTCCAGATGACTCAGGACTTAAAAACTAAACCAAAGTAAAATATATGTGCTTTTTAAAAAATATAGAAGAATTTGTGTATTTGTGTCATATTTACGATGGCCTTCTAAAAGATATAAAAAGCAAATGCCTAGGTTGTCCAACAGAGTTTTTCCTAGGGTTTGTTCCCAAATTTGTATGGTTATCAGGTCTTAGGTTTAAGTCTTTAATTCATCTTCAGTTCATTTTTGCATATGGAAAGAGATAGGGATCCAGTATCATTCTTCTACATGTTGCTATCCAATTTTCCCAGCACCATTTATTGAATTGGGTGTCCCTTCCCCAAGTCATATTACTGTACTCTTTCTAGAAAATCAATTGGTTGTAAGTACTTGGTTTTAATTCTGGGTTCTCTATTCTGTTCCATTGGTCTGTATATCTACTTTTATACCAGTACCATGCTGTTTTGGTTACTATAGCCTTGTATAATGGCATAATTTGAAGTCAGGTAATGTGATGCCTCCAGATTTGTTCTTTTTGGTTAGAATTGCTTTGGCTATTCTGGCTCTTTTTTAGTCCCATTTGAATTTCAGAATTTTTTTTTCTAATTCTATAAAGAATAACATTGGTATTTTTGATAAGAGTTGCATTGAATCTGTAGATTGTTTGGGGCACTATGGTCATTTTCATGATATTGTTTTTTCCAATTCATGAACATGGGATATATTTCCATTTGTGTCATCTATAATTTCTTTCAACAGTGTTTTATAGTTCTCCTTGTAGACATCTTTCACCTTCTTGGATAAGTATATGCCTAAATATTTTATTTTATTTTTTGTAGCTATTGTAAAAGGGACTGAATTCTCAATTTGATCCTCAGCTTGGTTGTTTTTGGTTTATACCAATGCTACTGATTTGTATATATTGATTTTGTAAACTGAGACTTTGCTAAATACATTTTTTAAATCTAGGAGTCTTTTGGAGGACTCTTTAGTGTTTTCTAGGTATCAGATCAGATCACATCATTGGCAAACAGAGTTAGTTTAACTTCCTCTTTTTCAATTTGAATACCCTTTATTTATTTTTCTTTCTTGATTTCTCTGGCAAAAAATTTATGATGAAAACCCCAAAAGCAAATGCAACAAAACAAAAAATAAATAAGTGGGGCCTAGTTAAACTAAAACACTTCTGCACAGCAAAAGAAATAATCATCAGAGTAAACAGACAACCCACAGAATAGGAGAAAATATTTGCAAACTATGCATCTGAAAAAGGACTAATATTCAGAATCTACAAGAAACTCAAAGCAGCAAGAAAAATAATAAATAAGGCTGGGCGTGGTGGCTCACACCTGTAATCCCAGCACTTTGGGAGGCTGAAATGGGGGTATTGCTTGAGCTCAGGAGTTCAAGACCAGCTTGGGCAACATGGTGAAACCCCGTCTTCACAGAAAATAAAGAAATTAGTTGCACGTGGTGGTGGGTGCCTGTAGTCTCAGCTACTCGTGAGGCTGAGGTGGGAGGATCGCTTGAGCCCAGGAGGCGGAGGTCACAGTGAGCCAAGATCACTCCACTGTATTCCAGAATGGGTAACAGTGTGAGGCTCTGTCTCAAAACAAACAAACAAACAAACAAAAAACACCCCCCCGCACAAAAAAAAACCCAACCCATTAAAAAGTGGGCAAATGGCTTGATTAAACATTTCTCAAAAGAAGATATACAAATGGCGAAAAAACATATGAAAAAAATACTCGACATAATTAATAATCAGGGAAATGCAAATTACAGTCACAATGAGATAACATCTTACCTCAGCCAGAATGGCCAGTATTAAAAAGTTAAAACACAATAGATGTTGGTGTAGATTTGGTGAAAAGGGAATGCTTACACACTGATAGTGGGAATGCAAATTAGTACAAACTCTGTGGAAAACAGCATGGAGATTTCTCAAAGAACTAAACATAGATCTACCATTTGATGCAGCAATCCCACTACTGGGTATCTACCCAAAGTAAAATAAATCATTATACCAGCTGGGCACAGTGGCTCATGCCTGTATTCCCAGCACTATGGGAGGCCAAGGATGGGAGATCACTTGAGCTCAGGAGTTCAAGGCCAGCCTGGGTAACATAGCAAAACCCCATCTCTACTAAAAGTACAAAAAAAAAAAAAAAAAAAAAAGAGCTGTGCATGGTGGCACATGTCTGTAGACCCAGATACTCAGGAAGCTGAGGTGAAAGGATTGCTTGAGCCTGGGAGGCAAAGGTTGCAGTGAGCCAAGATCACACCACTGCACTCCAGCCTGGGTGACAGAGTGAGATCCTGTCTAAAAAACAAAAATTCATTATGTCAAGAAGATACCTGCACATGTATGTTTACAGAAGAAGAATTTACAATTGCAAAGAAATAGAGTCAAATTAAATGTTCATCAACCGATGAGTGGATAAAGAAAATATGGTGTATACTGATTTATATATATAAACACACCATGGAATACTACTCAGCCATAAAAAAGAATGAACTAATGTCTTTTGGAGAAACTTGGATGGAACTGGAGGTGATTATTCTAAGTGATGTAACTCAGAAATCAAAAACCAAATACCACACATTCTCACTTTTAAGTGGGAGCTAAGCTATTGGTATGCAAAGGCATACAGTGTGGTATAAAGAACATTGGATACTCAGATGAGGGAGGGTGGGGGAGTGTGAGGGATGAAAAACTAGCTATTGGAGTACAATGTGTACTACTTGGGTTATGGGTACACTAAAATCCCAGACTTCACCACCATACAATTCATCCATGTAACAAAAACAACTTGTGCCCCTAGAGCTATTGATATAAAAAAAAATTAAATATATAAAAAACCGAAAAGCAAATGTCCTAATACAAAAGACTAGTTAATTTGACTACATAAATATTTACACTACCTGTGCAAACACATGCACAGATACTGGCAACCCCACCCCCACCAGTGCCTGGCCCCAGCTGATGTGTGTGCAACCTGCTGCACTGCCATGGTTGCTGGCATGTGTGAGTGAGCATGGATTCTGCAGCCACTGCCCTAATGAACTGCTTTGGCTAGCACCATCCATTGGAGCACCATGGCCAGTGGATTGAGTACACCTTGGCCCTTCTGGTGCAGCAGGTTCCTAACCTTAAAGAGCCAGAGAACAAAGCTGGGGGCCCAGTACCAGCCCCTTAAAGTTACAGCATGCAGCCCATGAGTGCTGAGCTGAGCCTTGGTCCCCTAAAATCTTCCAGAAACAAAGCCAATCAACTGAACCCACCTTAGACCACAATCAAATGCAAAAGCATTAAAGAAGATAAAAGCAAAGAAACCCTATCCAGAGGACAGTAACTTCAAGGACTGAAGGAACACCAAGCCACACTGATGAGCCAGTGCAAGAACTCTGGTAACTCAAAAAAACCCAGAGCATCTTCTTACCTCCAAACGATGGCACCAGTTCCTTAAAACTGGTTTTTAATCAGGCTTGAATGGCTGAAATGACAGAAATAGAGCTCAGAATATGACTCAGAACAAAGCTCATTGAGATTCAGGAGAAGTTGAAATGCAATCCAAGGAATCTAAGGAATTAAATAAAATGATAGAAGAGCTGAAAGATGTAATGATCATTTTATGAAAAAACCAAACTGATCTGATAGAGTTGAAAAACACACTACAAGAATTTTATAATACCAGCACAAGTATTAACATCAGAATAGAACAAGCTGATGAAAGAATCTCAGAGCTTGCAGACTGGTTCTGCGAAATAACTCAGTCAGACAAAAATAAAAAATAATAAAAAAGAATGAACAAAACCTCCAAGAAATATGGAATTGTGTAAAGAGACCAAATCTATGACTCATTAGCATCCCTGAATGAGAGGGAGAGAAAGCAAGCAACCTGGAAAACATGTTTGATAATATCAGCCATGAAAATTTCCCAAACCTCGCTAGAGAGGCCAACATTCAAATTCAGGGAATGCCAAGAACCCCTGCAAGACACTATACAAGATGAACATCCTCAACACACAGCCTCAGATTCTCCAGGGTTTAAATGAAGGAAGAAATGTTAAAGGCAGCAAGAGAGAAGAGGCAGGTCACCTACAAAGGGAACCCCAACAGGCTAACAGTGGACCTTTCAGCAGAAACCCTAAAAGCCAGAAGAGACTGGGGGCTTATATTCAGGATCCTTAAAAAAAAGAAATTCCAAGAAAGAATTTCATATCCAGCTAAACTAAGCTTGATAAATACAGGAGTAAAAAGACCCTTTTCAGACAAGTGAATGCTAAGGGAATTCACTACCACCTCATCTGCCTTACAAGAGGTCCTTAAAGGAGTGCTAAATATGGAAAGGTAAGGCTGTTACTGGCTATCACAAAAACACACTCAAGTACATAGACCATTGACACTATAAAGCAACTACACAATCAAATCTGCATAATAACCAGCTAACAATATAACAATATAACAGGATCCAATTCTCACACATCAATACTGACCTTGAAAACAAATGGGTTAAATCCCCCAATTAAAAGGCACAGAGCAGCAAGTTGAATAAAGCATCAAGACCCAGAAGTATGCTGTCTTCAAGAGACCCATCTCACAAGCAATGATACCCATAGGCTCAAAGTAAAGGGATGGAAAAAAATCTACCAAGATATTAGAAAACAGAAAAAAGCAGAGGTTGCTACTCTAGTATCATACTAAACAGACTTTAAACCAACAATGATCAAAAAAGACAAAGAAGAGCATTACATAGTGGTAAGCGGTTCCATTAAACAAGAAGACCAAATTATCCTAAAAATATATGCACCCAATAAAGGAGCACCCAGATTCATAAAACAAGTTCTTGGAGACCTACAGAGAGATGTAGAGTCCCACGCTATAATAGTGGGAGACTTCAACATCCCACTAACAGTACTAGGCAGATCACCAAGGAGGAAACTAAAAAAGATATCTGGGACCTGAACTGGACACTTGACAAAATGGACTTAATGGAAATCTACAGAACTCTCCACTGAAAACAACAGAATATACATTCTTCTCATATGCACATGGCACAAACTCTAAAACTGACTGCACATTTGGCTGTAAGAGAATTCTCAGTGACTTCAAAAAAACTGAAATCATATCAACATACTCTTGGACCACAGTGCAATAAAAATCGAAATCAATACTAAGAAAATCACTCACAATCACAAAATTTCATGGAAATTAACCGGCTTCTGGATGACTTTTGGGTAAATAATGAAATTAAGGCCAAAATCCAGAAACTCTTTGAAATTAATGAGAACAAACATACAACATACCAGAATCTCTGGGGCACAGCTAAAGCAGTGTAAAGAGAAACGTTTATAGCACTAAATGCCTACATCAAAAAGTGAGGAAGATCTCAAATTAACAACATAATATCACACTTAGAAGAACTAGAAAAACAACACCAAACCAACTCCAATGCCAGCAGAAGACAAATAACCAAAATCAAATGAAATAAATTAAGAGGCAAAAAACCATACCAAAGATCAACAAATCCAAAGGTGGCTTTTTTTTTTTTTTTAGAAAATAAGTAAGATTGATATACTGCTAGCTAGACTAATAAAGAAAAAAGAAAAAAGATTCAAATAAACACAATCAGAAATGACACAGAGGACATTACCACCAACTCCACAGAAATTCAAAAACTCTCAGATACTACTATGAATATCTCTATGCACATAACTAGAAAACCTAGAAGAAATTGATAAATTTCTTGAAACAAAGAACCTCCTAACATTGAATGAGGAAGAAACTGAATCCCTGAACAGACCAATAATGAGTTCTGAAATTGAATCATTAATAAAAATCTACCAACCAGAAAAAAACCCAGGACCAGATGGATTAACAGCTGAATTCTACCAGGTGTATAAAGAAGATCTGGTACCATTTCTACTGAAATTACTCCAAAAAAAAAAAAAAGGTGGGGGAGGAGGGACTCTTCCCTAATTCACTCTATGAAGCCGGCATTATCCTGATACCAAAAGCTGGCAGACACAACAAAAAAAGAAAACTTCAGGCCAATCTCCTTGATGAACTTCAATGCAAAAATCCTCAACAAAATCCTAGCAAACTGAATTAAGAAGCACAACAAAAAGCTAATCCACCATGATAAATTAAGTTTTATCCCTAGGATGTAAGATTACTTCAACATATGCAGATTTATAAATGTGATTTATCATACGAACAGAACTAAAAATAAAATTCACATGATCATCTTAATAGACGCAGAATAGGCTTCTGATAAAATTTAACATCTTTTATGTTAAAAAACCCTCAATGAACTAGGCATTGAAGGGACATACCATACCTCAAAATAATAAGAACCATCTATGACAAAGGCACAGCTAACATCACACTTAATGAGCAAAATCTGGAAACCTTATCCTTGAAAACCAGAATAAGACATGGATGTCTATTCTCACCACTCCTATTGATCACAGTACTGGAAGTCCTGGCCAGAGCAATCAGGCAAGAGAAAGAAATAAAAGTCATTGAAATAGAAAGACAGGAAGCCAAACCATCTGTTTGCAGACGATATGATTTTATATCTAGAAAACTCCACAGTCTCTGCCCAAGACCTCCTAGATCTCATTAAGAAAAAAAACTTTAGCAAAGTTTCAGGACACAAAATCAATGTACAAAAATCAGTAGCATTCCTATAAACCAACATCCGAGCTAAGGCCAAATCAGGAACACAATCCCATTCACATTTGCCACAAAAAGAATAAAATACCTGGGAATACAGCTAACTAGGGAGGTGAAAGATCTCTACAAGGAGAACTACAAAACACTGCTCAAAGAGATCAGAGATGACACAACAAATGGAAGAAACTTCCATGCCCATGGAGAGGAAGAATCAATATCATTAAGATGGCCATACTACCAGAAACAGTTTACAGATTCAATGCTATTCCTACAAAACTACCAATGACAGTCTTCATGGAATTAGAAAAGACTATTTTAAAATTCATGTGAAACCAAAGAAGCACCCAAACAGCCAAAGCAATCCTAAGTAAAAGGAACAAAGGTGGAAACATCACATTATCCAACTCTCTCTCACTCTCTCTCTCTGTCTCTGTCTCTGTCTCTCTCTCTATATATATACATATATATATTCTCTCTCTCTACACACACACACACACACACACACACACACAAAAAGTATACTACAAGGCTACAGTAACCAAAACAGTATGGTACTGGTACCAAGACAGAGACATACACCAATGGAATAGAATAGAGAGCCCAGAAGTAAAGCTGCACACCTACAACCATTTGATCTTCAACAAAGTCAAGACAAACAAGCAACGGGGAGAGGATTCCCCATTCAATAAATGTTGATGGGATAACTGGCTAGCCATATGCAGAAGATTGATATTGAGCCCCTTCTTTATACCATATAGAAAAACAAACTTAAGATAGATGAAAGACTTAAATGTAAAACTTTAAACTATAAAAACCCTGGAAGATAACCAATAACCTTGGAAATATCGTTCTAGACATAGGCCCTGGGAAATATTTCATGATGAAGATGCCAAAAGTAATTGTAACAAAAGCAAAAAAGTGAGAAATGTGACTCAATATTAAAATAAAGAGCTTCTGCATAGTAAAAGAAACTATCAAGAGTAAACAGACAACCTACAGAATGCAAGAAAATATTTGCAAACTATTCATCTGAAAAAGTTCTAATATCCAGAATCTATAAGGAACTTAAATGAACAAGAAACAAACACCCCATTAAAAAGTGGGCAAAGGACATTAAGAGACATTTTGCAAAAGAAGACTTCCAAGGAACCAAGCATTAAAAAATGCTTAACATCACTAATCATCAGAGAAATGCAAATCAAAACCACAAGGAGATACCATCTAATATCAGTCAGAATGGCAATTACTACAAAAAAAAAAAAAAAAAAAAAAGAACAGATGCTGGTAAGTTCCCGGAGAAAAGTGAATGCTTATACACTGCTGGTGGCAGTGCAAACTGGTTCAGCCATTGTGGAAAGCAGTATGGTGACTTCTCAAAGAACATAAAACAGAATTGTCACTCGACCCAGTGATCCCATTTTTGGGTACATATCCAAAGGAATATAAATCATTCTATCATAAAGACACACGGACGCATATGCCCATTGCAGAATTATGGGCATGGAATCAACCTAAATACCCATCAATAGTAGACTGGATTAAGAAAATGTGGTATACATACACAATGGAATACTATTACACCATAAGAAAGAACAAGAGCATGTCATTGCAGCAACATGGGTAGAGCTCAAGGCCATTATCTTAAGCAAACTAATGCAGGAACAGAAAATCAAATATTGCATGTTTTTACTTATAAGTGAGAGCTAACCATTGAGTACACAGGGACACAAAGAAAGGAACAACAGACACCAGGACCCACTTGAGCGTGGAGGGTGGGAGGAAGGTGAAGGTCAAAAAACTACCTATTGGTTACTATGGTTATTACCTGGCTGATGAAATAATCTGTACACCAACTCCCTGTAACATGCAATTTACCTATATAACAAACCTGCACATGTACCCCTGAATCTAAAATAAAAGTTAAAAAAATTAAAACTTCTCTTCTGCAAAAGAATCATAAAAAAACCTTAAAATTCGACTGATAGCCTGGGGAAAATATTTGCAACATATTCAAGAGTCAAAATATTAATATCCTGGCCAGGTGCAGTGGCTCATGCCTGTAACCCCAGCACTGCCTGTAATACCAGCACTGTCGGAGGACGAGGCAGGTGAATCACTTGGAGTTCAGGAGTTCAAGACCAGCCTGGGCAAAGTGGAAAAAGTCTGTCACTACAAAAAATACCAAAGTTAGCTAGGTGTGGTGGTGCACGCCTGTAGTCCTAGCCACTCAGTGGGACTGAGGCAGGAGGATTGCTTGAGCCAGAGTGGTCAAGGCTGTGGCGAGCTGACATCACGCCACTGCACTCCAGCCTGGGTGAAAGAGTGAGACCCTCTATTTCTCTCAAAAAAATAATATCCAGAATGTATAAAGAACACCTACAAACCAATAAGAAAAAGATAGAGAGCCCCAAAGTAAAACGGACAGTACATATGGACAGACTGAGAAGAGAAAATGCAAAAGACCAGTAAGCATAATAAATGATGCTTAATCTTAGAAGTAATCATAAAATGCAAAATACACTAATAAAGAAGTATTGCTTTTTACTCATAAAATTTGTAAACATTTAAAAGTGATTGCTAATATCAAGTTTTATCAAAGACATGGAAAAGTAGTGTTATAAACCACTGGTAAAAGGACAAACTGTTATATTCTTCTGGGAAGGTAATGTATCATTATCTACAAGAATTTTAAATGTGCATATCCTTTGGAAGAACAATTGTTCTTCTTCACCAGGTCTGAAGAAATAATCAAACATGTGCACAAGTTACATAAAATGATATTCTTGGTAGCATTGAACATTAGAGTAAAAAATACAAAAAACTCTAAATTCCTATTAGTTGGGGAATGAATAATCTATAAAACATTCATACTACAGAGAGAATACAACACTTAAAAAAGCTAGTTCTATAGTGATATGGAAAGACTCCCCATACATACTGTCAAGTGAAGAAAAGTGAGTCAAAGAACATGTTGAGTGTAAAACTATTGACATTTAAATATCACACATATAGTATTTGAGTATCTATAGATGGTGAAATTGGGTTCCTTTAACACAAAATACCTTGAGATTTTCTTCCCTGGTTGGCCTTAGTAAAACTATTCTTTGTATCTTCATTTTTAGACACTAAAATTAAATGTTAGTGCATAAAACATGTAGTGAGCGTCTACTTATATATATGTCTAGGTGTTCAAAAGAAATAATACATGGTATGTTCCCTTAAAAACTGTGGAATAACTTTTAGAAAACACTTCAGAGCTACACTTAAGTAGCATGAAGCAATCACAGTACTTAGAAAAAAATCAATCCTTCCTCCCTCCCTCCCTTCTTCCCTCCCTCCTTCCCTTTTCCTTTCTCTCTCTCTCTCCCTTTCTTTCTTTCTTTCTTTCTTTTTTTTTTGAGACAGGGCCTTGCTCTGTCATCAGGCTAGAGTGCAGTGGCATGATCATGTCTTACCACATCCTCTACCTCCTGGGCTCAAGTGATCCTCCCACCTCAGCCTCCCGAGTAGCTAGGGCTACAGGCACGTGCCATAACGTCTGGCTAATTTTTGTTTATTTTTTTGTAGAGACAGGGTCTCACTATGTTGTCCAGATTGGTGTCAAATATCTGGGCTCAAGTGATCCACTCACTCAACCTCCCAAAGTGCTAGGATTATAGCCATGAGTCACCACACCCAGTCAAAATTATGTTTATTTTAGACAATATACACAAGTTGAATACAATCATCCCTTAGTATCTATAGGGGACTGGTTTCAGAACCTCCCATGAATAACAAAATCCATGGCTGCTCAAGTCCCTGACATAAAATTACATAGTATTTGCCTATAACCTATGTCCATGCTCCCATATCCTTTAAATCATCTCTAGATTATTTATAATATCTAATACGATGTAAATGCTATGTGACTGGTTGCTATACTGCATTGTTTACAGAATAAGGACAAGAAAAAAAAAGCCTGTACATACATGTTCAGTACATATGTAATTTTCTTTTCCAAATATTTTTGATCCATGGTTAGTTAAATCCATGGATGTAGAATCCTCAGATACAGAGAGCCAATTAGATTTCCTTTCAATCACAAATTTTAATACATAAATAGGGGTGTATGAAGCCCAATTACCCAAATTACATACTATTTTTTATTTTCATTAACATGGATGTTAATGTTTTACAGCAAAAAAGACTAGAACATTAAATAGAAGCCTTTATACAAGCATTTGTCTTTGTTTCTTTATATTTATTATGTAAATGTCCTTGGAATTCTATAGATTATAATCCAAGATTTTTATTTGATGACACAAAATGCTTAAAATTATTTTTGCACCCATACAGAATGAAAACATGACAGCAACCTTGATGCTAACATTGAAGAAATCAATGTGCTGTGTTTGAGTTTCAAAAATACTCAGCAAGGCAGAAACTCTTGGGAATCTGGAACGACTTGGAGGTTAAAACACTGAAGTTGGCTTAGGAGGCTTCAGGAACGTTAAAAGATGAAATGATGCAAGCAATTTTATCTCTGGGCAAATCAATCTAATGTTAATGAAAAAATTTCCATGGCAACCTGATACAGAAGCAAAGGTGCAGAGTAAAATATAAAGATTTCTTTATTTCGAATTGAAGGTACCATTTGAAGATTTTCTTCTTTATTGCAGCTTTTTCTTTTTTAACATCAATTGGGATGTTTTAAAATTTTTATTTTTATAATTCTCAAGATGAATACTGATGAGTCTGACTAACCAATCAGCTAATAAACTAGCCTCTAATGATCTACACAGTCAGTCTCTGAAATAGGTTATGTAATGTGTGGGAGCATATATTAATTCTAGCTCATGGCTAAGCAGTATTACCAGCTATTGATTGGTTGTTTTTGTCAGAAAAATATACAAAATGGAATCAGAAAACGGATGTTGACATATAAGGCATCTATTAAACACAGTGGGCAACCTTGAAAAGTAACTATGAATTTTTACACTAAAAACAAGAGGGACAAATGAAAGGAATTTAACAAATGTATAAGAAAATAGCCCTGAAACCCTCAAATAAACTTTAAATTTAGATCGTCCGTTCATTTCTCACTCATAATGAACAATTAAATCTATAGATGTGTTTGCAATGATAACTCTAGTGTTTCAGGTATGAACACCTCAACAACATAATATTATTTTTGAAAAAGAAATCCAGGATATTATAATATGAGTGCTATAATTTAAGAGTACTAAGTGACTGATGCTGAATGACAAAGTGATAAAATCCCATGCTAATTCATATTTTCAATCACGGTTTTACATCAGGCATTGCCAAACATCTTACTACTATATAAATTATGTTTTTTGAATAAATTTCTGGCAGCATCAATCTACTTCAAGGATACATAAATACATACAGACACACAGACACACACACACACAAACACACACACACACACACACACACACACACTCAGAAAGCCACTGGGAAATTCCACATTATCAAGTCTTCATTAGTCTTACAAAATACAAGTGGAAATTTGTCATAAACAACTAAAAATAAAATTATGTTTAGTAAAAATGCATGTTATGAGACAATAACATTTATGTTCATCTTTTTCATCTTATTCGAAAATAGATTCATAAGAGTTATTGGTTCATACTGAATCAGTAGTATTTGGATGATGAGGATTTTCAACACCTAAATGTCCTTTTTCCCTTACTGGACTTTATGTATCAGACATAATGCTAGGCACTGGGGATTCTGTATCTGGACCCTGCTCTCCTGGAGTTTACATTGTAATGGTGCATACAGATCAAAAACCAATAACCAACTTCATATGTAAAATAATTGCAGGTCATGTTATGAAAGAAATAAGGGTTCAAGAGAGCATATGGGCAGGAAAGACCACCTTTAGATAAATGGGAAGTCTCTTCTGAGAGGGTGGCATTTCAACAAGACCTAAAGGATGAGAAAGAAGCTGACCGTAGGAAGAGAATCAGGGGAAGAGTATTCCAGGCAACAGAAACAGGATGCGAAAAACTACGGAGCTGGACAAAAGCTGGGTAGGTATGTTTTAGAAGCTGAAGGAAGAATTCACTGTAATGAAGTGTAACTTGAGTGTAATGAGGAAAGTGGGACTGGCATGAGATGGGGTTGGAAAAATAGGTGAGGAGGGAATCATGTATGGATTTATTAGACATCATAATGTTTTGCTTTTTATTTTAATTGCAATGAGATGCCATTGTAAGAGTATAAGCAAGAGGAGTGACAAAACCTTATTTGCACTTTAGGAAGGTATCTCTTATTGCTGTGTTGAGAATTGACTGGAAGAAGCAATCTGCTGGAAGTCTTTGTGATAAAAGCTGACAATCTGATGAAATTTTGGATGCCTTCTTCATAGCTGTCCCTTCAAGCTGCTTCTCTGTAGTTAACTCTGACCAATAATAACAGGAATAATTGGAATAATGGGTCATGTTTTCTTGGAGATTATAACAGCCTAAGAAATGTACAATGGGAGTGTTACAGTTATTTTAGACATTGGAAAACTATATTTCAAAGTATTCAAAGCCAGAAAAAAGTACATGGCCAGAAATTATGTTCATTGTTGTTCTTACTGAGACAGGGTTTCACTCTGTTGCCCAGGCTGGAGTGCAGTGGCACAATCTTGGTTTACTGCAACCTCTGCCTCATGGCTCAAGTGATTGTCCCACCTCAGCCTCTGGAGTAGCTGGGATTACAGGAATGTACCACCACTCCTGGCTAATTTTTATTAATTAATTAATTATTTATTTATTTAAATCAACTTAGTATATAACCAGCACACTAAACAAAACTACCCCTGGCTATATTTTCTATAGAGATTTGGTTTCACCATGCTGCCCAGGCTGGTCTCGAACTCCTGGGCTCAAGCAATCCACCTCCCTCAGTGCCCCAAAGTGCTGAGACTACAGGCAGGAGCCACTATGCCCAGCTACCAGCAACTGTTATGTGGAAGACAAAGAAGGTCTTGAAGTTATTAATTTACTTTTTTTTAAAAAGGACTCTCTGAACATACAAGCCTAAAGAGATAGCTGTACAGGCTCAAATGGTTGTACAAGGAATTTTCTAAGTGCCTCAGGTATAATGAAGCCATATTTCAAGAGTAAAAGGCAAGGTACATAATCTAAGATTCAGTCCTTTAGCGCTTATGTGCTTTGACTTCTGAATACTTTCCTGACCTAACTTTGCAGCACTCCTTTCTTCCTGGATGACCCTCCAGTCATCCTGTTCTTTCTGTTCCTTGAACATGTCGAACTTATTCTTGACTTTTGGCTTCTGCAGTTGCTGTTCCGTTTTCCTGGCATGCTCTTCCAGCTCTTCCGATAACTGCTGTTGCTCATCACTTCATAATTCATGGGGCATAGGGTGGAATACTCAGAAGTATCTTACTTAGTTGTGGGAAGTAAGCAGACTTATTCTCAGCACTCGTGTAGTACTCGTTACTGTTTTAGCTCAAATATCACCTTGAAAAGCATGTTATTTTCTACATAGCACATATTCTGTACTAAAATAATTTTATTTATGTGTTTATTTCCTTTCTCCCATCACTAGAATTTAAGCAAGAGATCAAATATTTTTTCTATCCTTTTCATGAAATTATTTCCAGTGCTTAGCACAGCATCTAGAATATTATACACACTCAAAAACATATTTATTGAATAGAAAGAAGGAATAAAGGTAGAAAGAAAAGGGAGAGGAAATGAAAAGCTATGTGACAAAAATGTCAAAATGTTTATCAAGTCCAGAACAAATTAAAAGCCTAAAGATATAAATAGAAATCTTTAAAGTTATGTTCAGAACAACAAGAATAGTATGGAAAAGACTTTTACTTGGATGAACAATGCAATAATAAAATAAAAATAAAATTATATTTCAAATTTCAAACTTATATCAAAGTGATAAAATAAATTAGATAAAAAATAAGTAATAGACTGTAAAATAATAAGTAATGACTCTGGCTTCAAGTCAACCTGGAAAAATAAGGGTCAGATTTGCCCTCCTGCCTGAAACAACCAAAAATAAAACAGGGAAAATATATGAAACAATGGTTTTTAAGACAATGGACAGCAGGCAATGAAGGCGCAGTCCCTCAGAAATAGTAAACAAATGAAGTGATCCCTAGAACGTCCCTAGCTTATTGTCTTGAGAGAGTTTCCAGGCTGCACGCAAAGAGCTTAAACCTAGCTGGAGCTCAGCAGAAATCCTAAGTAGAGGAAACGTATCTGAAGAGTCAAGGGAGACCAATGCAGTGTGAGTTTACAGAATAGAATGCTAGAGAAGAGAGAAACACACTGGGAGAGAAATGCAGGGATCTATAGAAGTTTCCTTTTGAGTATTCAGCATGTGAGGGGATAACTGAGGCTGAGAAAATAATTGCTTGAAAGAAAGTCACACAGAGCTCAGAACTAAAATAATTCAAACTCGTAGGTATAGGGTAGAATATTCAGAAGTGTTCTGCTCAGCAGTGGAGAATAAGAGGACTTAGACTGATACTGTTCTAGTAACACTTAATGAGTCTTAAAGGCAAAACCTAAAAAGATCAAATGTTTTTTTCTAAGTAATTTAACTGCATCCCAGAACATAGCTGAAGAATATTTAAAGGCATAAACAAATACCCAGGATGCAACAAGAAAAAAAAAAAACCCATAATGCTAGCAGCCAATAAAAATGATCAGGCATGCACAGAAGCAGGAAAATATAACACATAATGAAGAGAAAAATTAATCAATCTTGGATGAACCTCCAGGCAATTATGTTGAATGAAAAAGCCAATACCCAAAGTTTATATACTCTATAATTTCATTTATATAACATTTTTGAAATGGCAAACTTTTAGAAATGGGGAACAAATTAGTTGTTGCAGGGGTTAGGAATGGGGGTGAGGGTGGGGACAAGAAAGAGGTGGGTAACATAAGTGATCCTTTTGGCCATGGCACAAATCTGTACCTTGCCTGTGAAGGTAGACACATGAATCTGCACATGGGACAGAATTGTATTGAACGAAATACACACACATACAGATATGAGTGCAGGTAGATTTGGGAAAATCTGAACAAGATTGGTGCATTGTATCGATATATTCTGGTTGTGATTTTTTACTACAATTTTACCAGATGTTGCCATTGAAGGAAATTTGACAGAAGGCACATAGGATTTCTCTATATTATTTCTTAAAATTGCAAGCAAATCTACAATTAAATCAATTAAATTTTTAGTTAGAAATCAATGGAAACATCAGAACTGACACAGATTTTTAGAATTAGCAACAAGAACATTAATACAGCTATTATGGCTGAGCTTGATGGTTCACTCCTATAATCCCAGAACTTTGGGAGATCAAGGAGGGTGGATCACATGAGGTCAGGAACTTGAGACCAGCCTGGCCAACATGGTGAAACCCCATCTCTACTAAAAGTACAAAAATTAGCTGAGTGTGGTGGTGCGTGCCTGTAATCTCAGCTATTTGGGTGGCTGAGGCACAAGAATCGCTTGAACCTGGGGGGTGGAGGTTGCAGTGAGCTGAGATTGTGCCACTGCACTCCAGCCTGGGTGACAGAGTGAGACCCTGTCTCAAAAAAAAAAAAGAAGAACATTAATATAGTTATTATAATTGTATTCCATATGTTTAAAAAGATAGAGAGATATAAAAGCTATTTTTAAAAAGAGCCAAATTGAACTTCTAGAGATAAAAACTGTGTCTGAGATAAAAATACACTAGATGAGATTAATAGCAGATTAGACATTGCAGAAGAAAAGATTAGTGAACTTGAAGATATAACAATAGAAACTATCCAAAATGAAACAGAGCGAGAAATGAAACTGAAAATAAAATGAATAGAATTATCAGTGGCCTGATAACTCTACTACCTGATTCTATTCCAGCACCCAGACTTAAGAGAAAAAAAAAACAACTATCTGATAACTTCTGTTAACACTAATCAAAAGAAAGCCAGAATAGCCATTTGTGATAATCAAAACAAAAAACACCCAAATATCCATCAACAAGTCAATAGATAAACTAGTTGTAGTATATCCATATAGTGGAACATAACTCAGAAAAAAAGAACTATTTATTTATGTAACGGCAAGAATAAATCTCAAAATAATTATCCTGAGTGAAAGATGCCAATTGACAAAAGAGTATATACTGCATTATTTCATTTATATACAATTCCAGAAAATGTAAACTAATCTATAGTGACAGAAAGCAGTACAGTCTTTGGGAACAGCATGGAAGATGGGGAGAAGTAGGAGGGAGGAATTAGAAGGAAATACAAGAAAACTTTTGGTGGTTGTATTTTCATTATCTTGATTGCAGTGTTTTACGTGTGTGAAAACATAAAAATGCACTCTTTAAATATGTGCTGTTTTATTGTCAATTATATCTCAAGAGGCTGTTAAAAATAAAAGAAGAAACAGCTCTTCTTTATTGAAGAATTTCACGTAATAAAAGTAGGAGGAATGAAGGAAATAAAAAAACTCTGTTATAATGACCACTCTAGTAATAATTATAGCAGGCATGATCCATTAATGAATGCTAAAAAATAGTAAGTGAAAGTTTAGGAATAAAGAGGATATCTGTATAGTCTCAAAGTATCTCTTTCCACATAGTTATTAATGACAAAGGGGGAAAATAGCAACTTTACAGTGCAGAAGCCTGATGTAAACCTCTAAACCAAGCAATAAGGTTAGTCTCATCAATAATAAGATGTAATCAACATCATGTGACCCTACTATAAAGCACCGAGAACGGGATATCACTTCCAAGTATTTGTCTTCAAAATGCATAATCTTAATCTACTAAGGAGAAAATATTAGAAGAACCCAAATTGAGGGGCAATCTACAAAATGCCTGAATAGTACTGAAAGTGTCAAGGTCATGAAAGTAAGGAGAGACTGAAGAATTCTAACAGATTGGAGGAGATGATGGAGACATGAAAACTAAATGTAACGTGGGATCCTGGATTGGATCCTGAAAAAGATAAAGTGCATTAATGGAATAACTGGTGAAATGAAAAGAAAGCCTTTAGCTAACAATACTGTACCAATGTTAATGTCTTAGTTTTGATAATTAGATTATGGTTAGGCAGGATGTTAACATTAGAGGGTTTAAAGGGTATATAGGAATGTTCTGCACAATTTTGCAACTCTTCCTGAACTCTAAAATAATTTCAAAATAATTTTTTTAAAAACCAGAATAAATCATAAGCTCAGACAGATGAAGAAATAGTAGCAGATCTTTCACCTGCTTTAAATTAGGGCAATCATTTTGACCCACATGATTTCTTGAAAGAATTGAATACAAGAAACTGGAGATGAAATGATTGGATTGATGATGGTAATCTTTGAAGAACTATAAAGATAGAAGTCATGCTGGAAGACTAGAGAATAAAACTGTTTCTATGTTTTTTTTTTGAAAAGGAAAAGAATGTGGAGACCTCAAATTATAAACCAGCCAGGCTTTAAACCGTGCTGCTGAACTCCGCAAGATTTCTTGAAGGAATTAATGAGCAGATAGTTTTACACATGTTTAGAAAGGAAGGCAGTGAAAGCAAGCTTGGCTTCATCAAGAACAAGACATGTCAGACTAATCTTAATCATTTTCTGAAAGTATTACTTGGTTGGCAGATATGAAAAATGCTCTAGACATAGTTAATTTGATTTTAAGAAGGTATTTCGCAAAGTCATTCAAAATCTCCTTATGGACCAGATGACAAAACAAGAGCTAGATGATATCTCAAAAGTCAGATATATTTATTATTGACTAAACAACCATCCACAGATTTATGACTCAATTTCCTTTTAGATAGTTCTCTATTGGTAGATCAAAAGGCTTTCTCTGCAGTGCTATTCAAATAAACATTATTTTCCATTAACTAGGATGAAGACAATATCAGCAAGAATGAATGCAGAAGTAGAATCCAAATATCCATAAAAGGGTAAAAAATCACCTTAAATATAAGATTAAATGGAAGAGATATAATTTATAGTATATGACATAAAAAAGACATTTGGCTAACTGCAAGTTTGATAAGTCTACTCAAAAATATAGTTAATAATAGGGCTAATAGGATCATACCTCTCAGAAAGTGATATTCAGAGCTTATGTTACAATGGGGAACTCTTCTGATTTACTGAAAGCTTTTCCATATTTCTTTCATCAAGTTTCTTTAATTCCTACATAAAAAAAGAATAAACCAACCTTCATGTTGGATGGAGATTCCAAATACCTTTGAAACAAGAATCTTTCTTGAAAAATCATCCTGCCCAGGTGGAATGGGAGCTAGGATCTCATTATAACCAGTTTCTGATTATGTCAGTGAATAAGGGTTTCAGCCCAGGGCCAGGATGGCAATAGAGTTAGAGTTGGAGAAAATAACTGGGAGAAAACAAATACTTAATAAGCACTGGTAATAGAGAATTAACATTCCTGCTCTGTCTTAGGTGCTAACCCTGCTTTAACCAGAACCAGCTTCACTTTAATTTATTTTGTATATTAGGATTCTTTCTGGGGAATACCATATTACTGAAAAAAAAATTTAAAAAAAGTAAAAAAGAAAAAGTTAAAAAAGGATTCTATCAACATTCCACTAGATAAAAACATTCTATGTTTATAAATAAAACAAAATTGAAAGAATTCAATGATCTTTTAAAATATAAGGATCACCAATATCCCTGATGAACATCGACGCAAAAATCCTCAATAAAATACTGGCAAACCAAATCCAGCAGCACATCAAAAAGCTTATCCACCATGATCAAGTGGGCTTCAACCCTGGGATGCAAGGCTGGTTCAACATACGAAAATCAATAAACGTAATCCAGCATATAAACAGGACCAACGAAAAAAACCACATGATTATCTCAATAGATGCAGAAAAGGCCTTCGACAAAATTCAACACCCCTTCATGCTAAAAACTCTCAATACATTAGGTATGGATGGGATGTATCTCAAAATAATAAGAGTTATCTATGACAAACCCACAGCCAATATCATACTGAATGGGCAAAAACTGGAAGCATTCCCTTTGAAAACTGGCACAAGACAGGGATGCCCTCTCTCACCACTCCTATTCAACATAGTGTTGGAAGTTCTGGCCAGGGCAATCAGGCAGGAGAAGGAAATAAAGGGTATTCAATTAGGTAAAGAGGAAGTCAAATTGTCCCTGTTTGCAGATGACATGATTGTATATCTAGAAAACCCCATCGTCTCAGCCCAAAATCTCCTTAAGCTGATAGGCATCTTCAGCAAAGTCTCAGGATACAAAATCCATGTGCTAAAATCACAAGCATTCTTATACACCAATAAGAGACAAACAGAGAGCCAAATCATGAGTGAACTCCCATTCACAATTGCTTCAAAGAGAATAAAATACCTAGGAATCCAACTTACAAGGGATGTGAAGGACCTCTTCAAGGAGAACTACAAACCACTGCTCAAGGAAATAAAAGAGGATACAAACACATGGAAGAACATTCCATGCTCATGGATAGGAAGAATAAATATCGTGAAAATGGACATACTGCCCAAGGTAATTTATAGATTCAACGCCATCCCCATCAAGCTACCAATGACTTTCTTCATGGAATTGGAAAAAACTACTTGAAAGTTCATATGGAACCACAAAAGAGTCCACATTGCCAAGTCAATCCTAAGCCAAAAGAACAAAGCTGGAGGCATCACTCTACCTGACTTCAAACTATATTACAAGGCTACAGTAACCAAAACAGCATGGTGCTGGTACCAAAACAGAGATATAGACCAATGGAACAGAACAGAGCCCTCAGAAATAATGCCACATATCTACAACTATCTGATCTTTGACAAACCTGAGAAAAACAAGCAATGGGGAAAGGATTCCCTATTTAATAAATGGTGCTGGGAAAACTGGCTAGCCATATGTAGAAAGCTGAAACTGAATCCCTTCCTTACACCTTATACAAAAATTAATTCAAGATAGATTAAAGACTTACATGTTAGACCTAAAACCATAAAATCCCTAGAAGAAAACCTAGGCAATACCATTCAGGACATAGACATGGGCAAGGACTTCCTGTCT